>NC_000012.12:37257055-37333222 GCF_000001405.40 Homo sapiens | reverse complement strand
TCAAAAGGAATGTTCAAGTCTGTGCGTTCAATGTACACATCACAAAGAAGTTTCTGAGAATGCTTCCGTCTAGTTTGCATGTGAAGATATTGCGTTTACAACGAATTCCTCAAACAGTTCCGTATATCCACAAGCAGATTCTACAAAAGCAGTGTTTCAAAACTGCTCTATCAAAAGCAAGTTTCAACTCTGTCAATTGAATGCACACATCACCAAGAAGTTCCTGAGAATGCTTCCATCTTGTTTTTATGTGAAGATATATCCTTTTCCAGGATAGGCCTCAAATCGCACCAAATATCCACCAGCAGATTCTACAAAGTGACTGTTTCAAAACTCCTCTATAAAGAGAAAGGCTCAACTCTGTGAGTTGAATGCACACATCACAAGGCAGTTTCTCAGAATGCTTCTGTCTAGTTTTTAGATGAAGAAATTTCCTTTCCCAACATTGGCATCAAATCGCTCCAAATATCCACTTGCAGTTACCACAAAAAGTCTGCTTCAAAACTTCTCTCTCAAAAGGAAGGTTCAACTCTGTGAGTTGAATGCACACATTACAAAGCAGTTTCTGAGAATATTTCTGTCTTGTTTGTATGTGAAGTTACCCCGTTTACAACGAATTCCTCAAAGAGTTCCAAATATCCACAAACAGATTCTACAAAAGGAGTGTTTCAAAACTGCTCTATCAAAGGAAAGGTTCAACTCTGTGAGTTGAATGAACACATCACAAAAATGTTTCTGAGAATGCTTCTGTCTAGTTTTTATGTGAAGATATTTCCTTTTCCACCATAGGCCTCAAAGAGCTCCAAATGAACACATGCAGATACTACAAAAAGACTGTTTTCAAAACTGCTCTGTCAAAGAAAGGGTTCAACTCTGTGAGTTGAATGAGCACATCACAAAGAACTTTCTGAGAATACTTCTGTCTACTTTTTTTCTGGAGATAGCCCATTTCCAACGAATTTCTCACAGAGATTCATATATCCACAAGCACATTTTACAAAAGGAGTGTTTCCATACTGCTCTATCAAAAGAAAGGTTCAACTCTGTGAATTGAACACACACATCACAGAGTTGTTTCTGAGAATGCTTCTGTCTAGTTTTTATGTGAAGGTATTTCCTTTTCCTCCATAGGCCTCAAAGCCCTCCAAATGAACACTAGCAGATTTTACAAAAAGTGTGTTTCAAAACTGCTCTATCAAAAGAAAAGTTCTACTCTGTGGACTGAATGCGCACATCGCAAGGAATTTTTGAGAATGCTTCTGTCAGTTTTTATATGAAGATACCAGTTTCCAACGAATTCATCCAAGAGTTCCAAATATCCACAAGCAGATACTACAAAAGGAGTGTTTCACTACTGCTCTATCAAAAGACAGATTCAAATCTGCTTGGTGAATTCACACATCTCAAAGACGTTCCTGAGAATGCTTCTGTCTAGTTTTTATGTGAAGATATTTCCTTTTCCACCATAGGCTTCAAAGCACTCCAAATAAACAGTTGCAGACTCTACAAAAAGGCTGTTTGAAAACTGCTCTTTCCAAAGAAGTGTTCCACTCTGTGAGGTGAATGCACACATCACAAAGCAGTTTCTGAGAATGCTTCTGTCTAGTTTTTAGGTGAAGATATTTCCTTTTCCATCATAGGCCTGAAATCGTTCCAAATATCCACTTGCAGATACTACAAAAAGACTGTTTCAAGACTGCTCTCTGAAAAGGAAGTTTCAACACTGTGAGTTAAACACACACTTCACAAAGGTGTTTCTGAGCATGCTTCTGTCTAGTTTTTATGTGAAGATATTTCCTTTTCCACCATAGGCCTCAAAGCACTCCAAATGAACACTTGCAGATTTTACAAAAAGAGTTTTTCAAAACTGCTCTGTCAAAAGAATGTTTCAGCTCTGTTAGCTGAATTCACACATCACAAAGAAGTTCCTGAGAATGCTTCTGTTTAGTTTTTATGTGAACATATATCATTTTCCAACATAGGCCTCAAATCGCACAAAATATCCACCTGCAGATTCTACAAAAAGACTGTTTAAAAACTGCTCTATCAAAAGAAAGGCTCAACTGTGTTAGTTGAATGCACACATCTCTAAGGCATTCCTGAAAATGCTTCTGTCTAGTTTGTATGTGAAGATATTTCCTTTTCCACCATAGGCCTCCAAGCGCTCCAAATGAACACTTGCAGATTTTACAAAAGTGTGTTTCAAAACTGCTCTATCAAAAGAAAAGTTCAACTCTGTGAGTTGAATGCACACATCAAAAAGAAGTTTCTGAGAATGTTTCTGTCTTGTTTTTATGTGTAGATATTACCTTATCCACCGTAGACCTCAAAGAGCTCAAAATGAACACTTGCAGATTATAAAGAAGGAAAGTTTCAAAACTGCTCTGTCAAAAGAAAGGTTCAACTCTGTGAGTTGAATGCACACATCCCAAAGAATTTTCTGAGAATATTTCTGTGTACTTTTTTTAGGAGGATAGAATGTTTCCAACGACTACCTCGAAGACTTTCATATATCCACAGGCAGATTGTACAAAAGGAGTGTTTCAAAACTGCTCTATCAAAGGAAGGGTTCAACTCTCTGAGTTGAATGCACAATCACAATGCAGTTTTTGAGAATGTTACTGTCTAGTTGTTAGGTGAAGGTATTTCCTTTTCCAACATAGGCCTCAAATCGCTCCAAATATCCACTTGTAGATATACAAAAACAATGTTTCAAAACAGCTCTCTCTAAAGGTAGGCTCAACTATGTGAGTTGAATGCACACATCACAAAGCAGTTTCTGAGAATGCTTCTGTCTAGTTTTAATGTGAAGGTATTACCTTTTCCACCATAGTCCTCAAAGGGCTCCAAATGAACACTTGCAGATTCTACAAGAAGTGTGTTTCAAAACTGCTTTATCAAAAGAAAGATTCAACTCTGTGAGTTGAATGCTCACATCACAAAGTACTTTCTGATAATGCTTCTATCTAGCTTTTATGTGAATATGGCCATTTCCAACGAATTTTTCAAAGAGTTCCAAATATCCACAAGCAGATCCTACAAAATTAGTGTTTCAATACTGCTCTATCAAAAGACAGATTCAGTTCTGTTAGTTGAATGCACACATCTGAAAGACGTTCCTGAGAATGCTTCTGTCTAGTTTTCAAGTGAAGATATTTCCTTTTCCACCATAGTCTTCAAAGCGCTCCAAATGAACCCTTGCAGATTCTGCAAAAAGACTATTTCAAAACTGCTCTATCAGAAGAAGGGTTCAACTCTGTGAGTTTAATGTCCACATCACAAAGCAGTTTCCGGGAATGTTGCTGCCTAGTTTTTAAGTGAATATACATCCTTTTCAACAGTAGGACTCGAATCACTTGAAATATCCTCTTGCAGATACTACAAAAATACTGTTTCAAAACTGATCTCTCCAAAGGAATGTCCAACCCTGTGAGTTGAATGCACACATCACTAAGCAGTTTCTGAGAATGCTTCTGTCTAGGTTGTATGTGAAGATATCCCATTTACAATGAATTCCTCAAAGAGCTCCAAATATCCAGAAGCAGATTTTATAAAAGGAGTGTTTCAAAACTGCTTTTTCAAAAGAAGGGTTCAACTCTGTGAATTGAGCACACACATCACAAAGGAGTTTCTGAGAATGCTTCGGTCTAGTTTTTATGTGAAGATACTTCCTTTTCCACCATAGGCTTTGAATCTCTCCAAATGAACACTTACAGATATTGCAAAAAGAGAGTTTCAAAACTGAAGTGTCAAAAGAAAAGTTCATCTCTGTTAGCTGAAGGCACACATCACAAAGCAGTTTCTGCAAATGCTTCTTTCTAGTTTTTATGTGAAGATATATCCTTTTCCAACATAGGCCTCAAATCGCTCCAAATGTCCACCTGCAGATACTACAAAAACACTGTTTCAAAACTGCTCTCTCAAAAGTAAGGCTCAAATCTGTGAGTTGATTGCACCCCTCACAGAGAAGTTTCTGAGAATGCTTCTATTTGTATGTGAAGATATCCCGTTTAAAACGAATTCCTGAAACAGCTCCAAATATCCACAAGCAGATTCCACAAAACGAGTGGTTCAAAACTTTTCTATCAAAAGAAAGGTTCAACTCTGTGAGTTGAATGCACACATCACAAATAGTTTCTGAGAATTCTTCTGCCTAGTTTTTATGTGAAGATATTTCCTCTTCCACCATAGTCCTCTAAGCGCTCAAAATGAACAATTGCAGATTATACGGAAGGAATATTTCAAATCTGCTCTATCAAAAGACAGGTTCAACTCTGTGAGTCAAATGCACACATCACAAAGAATTTTCCGAGAATACTTCTGTCAACTTTTTTTGGGAGGATAGCCCGTTTCCAATTACTACCTCAAAGAGTTTCATATCTTCACAAGCAGATTCTACAAAAGGAGTGTTTCAGAACTGCTCTATCAAAAGAAAGATTAAACTCTGTGAATTGAACACACACATCACAAAGGTGTTTCTGAGAATGCTTCTGTCTTGTTTGTATGTGAAGATATCCCGTTTACAACGAATTCTTCAAAGAGTTCCAAATATCCACAAGCAGATTCTACATAAGGAGTGTTTCAAAACTGCTCTATCAAAAGAAATGTTCAACTCTGTGAGTTGAATGCACACATCACAAAGGAGTTTCTGAAAATGCTTCTGTCTAGTTTTTACATGAAGATATTTCCTTTTTCACCATCAGCTTCAAAGCGCTCCAAATGAACACTTGCAGATTCTACAAAAATACTGTTGCAAAACTGCTCCATTAAAGGAAGGGTTCAACTCTGCGAGTTGAAAGCAGACATCACAAAGAAGTTCCTGAGAATGCTTCAGTCTAGTTTTTGTGTGAAGATATTTCCTTTTCCACCGCAGACCTCAAATCACTCCAAATATCCAGTTGCAGATCCTAGAAAAAGACTGTTTCAAAACTGCTCTCACAAAAGGAATATTTAACTCTGTGAATTGAACGCAGACATCACAAGGCAGTTTCTGAGGATGCTTCTCTCTAGTTAGAATGTGAAGATATTCCGTTTACTACGAATTCCTCAAAGAGCTCCAAATATGCACAAGCAGATACTGCAACAGCAGTGTTTCAAAACTGCTCTATCAAAAGAAAGGTTCAACTCTGTGAACTGAATGCACACATCACAAAAAGGTTTCAGAGAATGCTTCTGTCTAGTTTGTAAGTGTAGATATACCATTTACAACGAATTCCTCAAAGAGCTCCAAATATCCACAAGCAGATTCTAAAAAAGGAGTGTTTCAAAACTGCTCTTTCAAAAGAAATGTTCAACTCTGTGAGTTGAATGCACACATCACAAAGGAGTTTCTGAGAATGCTTCTGTCTAGTTTTCATGTGAAGGTATTACCTTTCCACCACAGGCCTCAAAGCTCTCAAAATGAACACTTGCAGATTATACAGAAAGAATGTTTCATACCTGCTGTATCAAAAGAAAGTTTCAACTCTGTGAGTAGAATGCACACATCACAAAGCACTTTCTGACAATACTTCTGTGTAGTTTTGTTCTGAAGATAAAACATTTCCAAAGAATTCCTCTAAGAGTTGCATATATCCACAGATTCTACAAAAGGAGGGTTCCAAAACTGCTCTATCAAAGGAAAGATTCAACTCTGTCAATTGAACACACACATCACAAAGTTGTTTCTGAGAATCTTTCTGTCTAATTTTTATGTGAAGATATTTTCGTTTTCTACCATAGGCCTCAAAGCGCTCCAAATGAACACATGCAGATTTTACAAAAAGAGTGTTTCAAAACTGTTCTGTCAAAGGAAAGGTTCAACTCTGTTTAGCTGAATGCACACATCACAAAAAGTTCCTGAGAATGCTTCTGTCTAGTTTTTATGTGAAGATATCCATTTCCAACGAATTCCTCAAAGAGTTCCAAAAATCAACAAGCAGATTCTACAAAAAGAGTGTTTCAATATTGCTCTATCCAAAGACAGATTCAACTCTGTTAGTTAAATGCACACTTCTAAAAGAAGTTCCTGAGAATGCCACTGTCTAATTTTTATGTGAAGATATTTCCTTTTCCACCATAGGCCTCAAAGCTCTCCAAATGAACACTTGCAGATTTTACAAAAAGACTGTTTCAAACTTACTCTGTCAAAAGAAACGTTCAACTCTGTTTAGCTGGATGCACACATCACAAAGTACTTCCTGTGATTGCTTCTGTCTAGTTTTTATGTGAAGATATATCCTTTTCCAACAGAGGCCTCAAATTGATCCTAATATGCACATGCAGATTCTACAAAAACAGTTTTTCAAAACTGCTCTATCAAAAGAAAGGCTCAACTTTGTGAGTTGAATGCACACATCACAAAATAGTTTCTGAGAATGCTTCTGACTAGTTTTTATGTAAACATATTTCCTTTTCCACCATAGGCCTCAAATTGCTCCAAATATCCACTTGCATGTACCACAAAAAGACTGTTTCAAAACTGCTCCCTCAAAAGAAAGGTTCAACTCTGTGAGTTGAATGCACACATCACACAGCAGTTTCTGAGAATGCTTCTGTCTAGTTTGTATGTGAAGATATCCCGTTTACAACGAATTCTACAAAGAGCTGTAAATATCCACAAGCAGTTTCTACAAAAGGAGTGTTTCAAAACTGCTCTATCAAAAGACAGGTTCAACTCTGTGAGTTGAATGCACACATCACAAAAAAGTTTCTGAGAATGCTTCTGTCTAGTTTTTATGTGAAGATATTTCCTTTTCCACCATATGCTTCAAAGCGCTCCAAATGAACACTTGCAGATTCTACAAAAAGACTGTTTCAAAACTGCTCTATCAAAGGAAGGGTTCAACTCTGTGGGTTGAATGCACACAACAGAAAGCAGTTTCTGAGAATGCTTCTGTCTGGATTTTATGTGAAGGTGTTTCCTTTTCCACCATAGGCCTCAATTCGCTCCAAATATCCACTTGCAGATCCGTTCTATCAAAGGAAGGGTTCAACTCTGTGACTTGAATGCACACATCACAAAGCAGTTTCTGTGAATGCTTCTGTCTAAATTTTTTGTGAAGATATTTCCTTTTCCAGCATAGACCTCATGTCCCTCCAAATGTCCACTTGTAGATTCTACAAAAACACTGTTTCAAAACTGCTGTCTCAAAAGGAAGGTTCAACTCAGATGATTCCCCACATCACAAAGCAGTTTCAGAGAATGCTTCTATTTTGTATGTGAAGATATCCCATTTACAACGAATTCCTTAAAGACTTCAAATATCGACAAGAAGATTCTACAAAAGGAGTGCTTCAAAACTGCTTTATCAACAGAAGGGTTCAACTCTGTGAGTTGAATGCACACATCACAAAGAACTTTCTGAGAATACTTCTGTCTAGTTTTTTTCTGAAGATAGCCCGTTTCCAACGAATTCCTCAAAGAGTTTCATGTATCCACAAGTAGATTCTACAAAAGGAGTGTTTCAAAACTGCTCTATCGAAAGAAAGGTTCAACTCTGTATTGAACACACCGATCCCAAAGTTGTTTCTGAGAATGCTTCTGCCTAGTTTTTATGTGAAGATATTTCTTTTTCCACCATACAATTCAAAGCACTCCAAATGAACACTTGCAGATTCTACAAAAAGTGTGTTTCAAAACTGGTTTATCAAAAGAAAATTTCAACTCTGTGAGTTGAATGCGCACATCAAAAAGAACTTTCTGAGAATGCTTCTGTCTAATTTTATGTGAAGATACATGTTTCCAACGAATTCCCCAACTGTTTCAATTATCCACAAGCAGATTCTACAAAAGCAGTGTTTCAATACTGCTCTATCAAAAGACAGCTTCAACTCTGTTAGTTGAAAGCACACATCTCAGAGTAGTTCCTGAGAATGCTTCTGTCTAGTTTTTACATGGAGATATTTCCTTTTCCAACATAGGTTTCAAAGCGCAAAATTGAACAGATACAAATTCTACAAAAAACTGTTTCAAAACTGCTCTATCAAAAGAAGGGTTCCACTCAGTGAGGTGAATGCACACATCACAAAGCAGTTTCTGAGAATGCTTCTGTCTAGTTTTTATGTGAAGATATTTCCTTTTCCACCACAGGCCTCGAATCGTTCCAAATATCTGCTTGCAGATACTGCAAAAAGACTGTTTCAAAACTGCTCTCTCTAAAGGAAGGTTCAACTCTGTGAGTTCAATGCACCATCACAAAGCAGTTTCTGAGAATGCTTCTGTCTAGTTTGTATGTGTAGATATCCCCTTTACAAGGAATTCTGCAAAGAGCTCCAAATATCCACAAGTAGATTCTACAAAAGCAGTGTTTCAAAACTGCTCTATGAAAAGAAAGGTTCAACTCTGTGAATTGCATGCACACATCAAAAAAAAAGTTTCTGAGAATGCTTCTGTCTAGTTTTCATGTGAAGATATTTCCTTTTCCACCATAGGCCTCAAAGCGCTCAAAATGAACACTTGCAGATTATACAAAAAGAATATTTCATATCTGCTGTATCAAAAGAAAGGTTCAACTCTGTGAGTTGAATGCACACATCACAAAGAACTTTCTGACAATACTTCTGTGTCGTTTTTTTCTGAAGATACCCCATTTTCAACGAATTTCTCAAAGAGTTTCATATATCCACAAGTAGATTCTACAAAAGGAGTGTTTCAAATCTTCTCTATCAAAAGAAAGGTTCAACTCTTTGAATTGAACATACACATCGCAAAGGTGTTTCTGAGAATGCTTCTGTCTAGTTTTTATGTGAAGATATTTTCCTTTCCACCATAGGACTCAAAGCGCTCCAAATGAACACTTGCAAATTGTACGAAAAGTGTGTTTGGAAACTGCTCTATCAAAAGAAATGTTCAACTCTGTGGGTTGAATACACACATCAGAAAGAACTTTCTCAGAATGCTTCTTTCTAGTTTTTATGTGAAGATAACCGTTTCCAACGAATTCCTCAAAGAGTTCCAAAAATCCACAAGCAATTTCTACAAAAAGAGTGTTTCAATAATGCTCTATCTGAAGACAGATTCAACTCTGTTAGTTGAATGCACACTTCTAAAAGAAGTTCCTGAGAATGCCTCTGTCTAGTTTTTATGTGAAGATGTTTCCTTTTCCACCATTGGCTTCAAATCGCTCCAAATATCCACCTGCTGGTACCACAAAAAGACTCTTTCTAAACTGCTCTCTCGAAAGGAAGGTTCGATTCTGTGAGTTTATTGCACACATCACAAAGCAGTTTCTGAGAATGCTTCCGTCTCGTTTGTATGTGAAGATATCCCGTTTACAACAAATTCCTCAAAGAGCTCCAAATATCCCCAAGCAGATTCTACAAAAGCAGGGTTTCGGAGTAGGATCCAAGATGGCCGAGTAGGAAGAGCTCCGTTCTACAGCTCCCAGTGTGAGCAACGCAGAAGACAGGTGATTTCTGCATTTCCATTTGTGGTTCCCGGTTCATCTCACTAGGGAGTGCCAGACTGTGGGCGCAGGTCAGTGGGTGTGTGCACCGTGCACGAGCTGAAGCAGGGCGAGGCATTGTCTCACTCGGGAAGTGCAAGGGGTCAGAGAGTTCCCTTTCCTAGGCAAAGAAAGGGGTGACAGACAGCACCTGGAAAATCGGGTCACTCCCACCCGAATACTGCACTTTCCAATCGGCCTAAAAAACGGTGAACCAGGAGATTATATCCGGCACCTGGCTGGGAGGGTCCTACGCTGATGGAGTCTCACTGATTGCTAGCACAGCAGTCTGAAGTCAAACTGCAAGGAGGCACCGAGGCCGGGGGAGGGGCGTCCACCATTGCCCAGGATTGCTTAGGTAAACAAAGCTGCCAGAAAGCTCGAACTGGGTGAAGCCCACCACAGATCAAGGAGGCCTGCCTGCCTCTGTAGACTCCACCTCTGGGGGCAGGGCACAGACAAACAAAAAGACAGCAGTAACCTCTGTGGACTTAAATGTCCGTGTCTGACAGCTTTGAAGAGAGCAGTGGTTCTCCCAGCAGGCAGCTGGAGATCTGAGAACGGGCAGACTGCCTCCTCAAGTGGGTCCCTGACCCCTGATCCCAAAGCAGCCTAACTGGGAGGCACCCACCAGCAGGCACAGACTGACACCTCACACGGCCAGGTATTCCAACAGACCTGCAGCTGAGGGTCCTTTCTGTTAAAAGGAAAAATAACAAACAGAAAGGACACGCACACCAAAAACCCATCTGTACATCACCATCATCAAAGACCAAAAGTAGATAAAACCACAAAGATGGGGAAAAAACAGAGCAGAAGAACTGGAAACTCTAAAAACCAGAGCATCTCTCCTCCTCCAAAGAACGCAGTTCCTCACCAGCAACGGAATGAAGCTGGTCGGAGAATGACTTTGACGAGCTGAGAGAAGAAGGCTTCAGATGATCAAATTACACTGAGCTACGGGAGGACATTCAAACCAAAGGCACATAAGTTGAAAACTTTGAAAAAAATTTAGAAGAATGTAAAACTAGAATAACAAATACAGGGAAGTGCTTAAAGGAGCTGATGAAGCTGAAAACCAAGGCTCGAGAACTACGTGAAGAATGCAGAAGCCTCAGGAGCCAATGCGATCAACTGGAAGAAAGGGTATCAGCAATGGAAGATGAAATGAATGAAATGAAGCGAGAAGGGAAGCTTAGAGAAAAATGAATAAAAAGAAACGAGCAAAGCCTTCAAGAAATATAGGACTGTGTGAAAAGACCAAACCTACGTCTGATTGGTGTACCTGAAAGTGACAGGGAGACTGGAACCAAGTTGGAAAACACTCTGCAGGATATTATCCAGGAAAACTTCCCCAATCTAGCAAGGCAGGCCAACATTCAGATTCAGGAAATACAGAGAATGCCTCAAAGATACTCCTCGAGAAGAGCAACTCCAAGCCTCATAATTGTCAGATTCAACAAAGTTGAAATGAAGGAAACAATGTTAAGGGCAGCCAGAGACAAAGATTGGGTTACCCTCAAAGGGAAGCCCATCAGACTAACAGCAGATCTCTCAGCAGAAACCCTACAAGCCAGAAGAGAGTGGGGGCCAATATTCAACATTCTTAAAGAAAAGAATTTTCAACCCAGAATTTCATATCCAGCCAAACTAAGCTTCATAAGTGAAGGAGAAATAATATCCTTTACAGACAAGCAAATGCTGAGAGATTTTGTCACCACCAGACCTGCCCTAAAAGAGCTCCTGAAGGAAGCACTAAACATGGAAAGGAACAACCGGTACCAGCTGCTGCAAAATCATGCCAAAATGTAAAGACCATCGAGACTAGTAAGAAACTCCATCAACTAACGAGCAAAATCACCAGCTAACATCATAATGACAGGATCAAATTCACACATAACAATATTAACTTTAAACGTAAATAGACTAAATGCTCCAATTAAAAGACACAGACTGGCAAATTGGATAAAGAGTCAAGATCCATCAGTGGGCTGTATTCAGGAAACCTGTCTCACATGAATAGACACACATAGGCTCAAAATAAAAGGATGGAGGAAGATCTACCAAGCAAATGGAAAACAAAAAAAGGCATGGGTTGCAATCCTAGTCTCTGATAAGACAGACTTTAAACCAACAAAGATCAAAAGACACAAAGAAGGCCATTACATAATGGTAAAGGGATCAATTCAATAAGAAGAACTAACTATCCTAAATATATGCACCCAATACAGGAGCACCCAGATACATAAAGCAAGTCCTGAGTGACCTACAAAGATATTTAGACTCCCGCACATTAATAATGGGAGACTTTAACACCACACTGTCAACATTAGACAGATCAACGAGACAGAAAGTCAACAAGGATACCCAGCAATTGAACTCAGCTCTGCACCAAGCAGACCTAATAGACATCTACAGAACTCTCCACCCCAAATGAACAGAATATACATTTTTTTCAGCACCACACCACACCTATTCCAAAATTGACCACATAGATGGAAGTAAAGCTCTCCTCAGCAAATGTAAAAGAACAGAAATTATAACAAACTATCTCTCAGACCACAGTGCAATCAAACTAGAACTCAGGACTAAGACTCTCACTCAAAACAGCTCAACTACATGGAAACTTAACAACCTGCTCCTGAATGACTACTGGGTACATAATGCAATGAAGGCAGAAATAAAGATGTTCTTTGAAACCAACGAGAACAAAGACACCACATACAGAATCTCTGGGACGCATTCAAAGCAGTGTGTAGAGGGAAATTTATAGCACTAAATGCCCACAAGGGAAAGCAGGAAAGATCCAAAATTGACACCCTAACATCACAATTAAAAGAACTAGAAGAGCAAGAGCAAACACATTAAAAAAGCTAGCAGAAGGCAAGAAATAACTAAAATCAGAGCAGAACTGAAGGAAATAGAGGCACAAAAAAACCTTCAAAAAATTAATGAATCCAGGAGCTGGTTTTTTGAAAGGATCAACAAAATTGATTGACCGCTAGCAAGACTAATAAAGAAGAAAAGACGGAAGAATCAACTAGACGCAATTAAAAATGATAAAGGGGATATCACCACCGATCCCACAGAAATACAAACTACCATCAGAGAATACTACAAACACCTCTACGCAAATAAACTAGAAAATCTGGAAGAAATGGATAAATTCCCCGACACATACACTTTTCCAAGACTAAACCAGGAAGAAGTTGAATCTCTGAATAGACCAATAACAGGAGCTGAAATTGTGGCAATAATCAATAGCTTACCAACCAAAAAGAGTCCAGGACCAGATGGATTCACAGCCGAATTCTACCAGAGGTACAAGGAGGAACTGGTACCATTCCTTCTGAAACTATTCCCATCAATAGAAAAAGAGGGAATCCTCCCTAACTCATTTTATGAGGCCAGCATCATCCTGATACCAAAGCCGGGCAGAGACACAAACAAAAAAGAGAATTTTAGACTAATAACCTTGATGAACATTGATGCAAAAATCCTCAATAAAATACTGGCAAATCGAATCCAGCAGCACATCAGAAAGCTTATCCACCATGATCAAGTGGACTTCATCCCTGGGATACAAGGCTACTTCAATATATGCAAATCAATAAATGTAATCCAGCATATAAACAGAACCAAAGACAAAAAACACATGATTATCTCAATAGATGCAGGAAAGGGCTTTGACAAAATTCAACAACCCTTCATGCTAAAAACTCTCAATAAATTAGGTATTGATGGGATGTATTTCAAAATAATAAGAACTATCTATGACAAACCCACAGCCAATATCATACTGAATGGACAAAAACTGGAAGCATTCCCTTTGAAAACTGGCACAAGAGAGGGATGTCTTCTCTCACCACTCCTATTCAACATAGTGTTGGAAGATCTGGCCAGGGCAATTAGGCAGGAGAAGGAAATAAAGGGCATTCAATTAGGAAAAGAGGAAGTCAAATTGTCCCTGTTTGCGGACGACATAATTGTATATCAAGAAAACCCCATTGTCTCAGCCCAAAATCTCCTTAAGCTGATAGGCAACTTCAGCAAAGTCTCAGGATACAAAATCAATGTACAAAAATCACAAGCATTCTTATACACCAACAACACACAAACAGAGAGCCAAATCATGAGTGAATTCCCATTCACAATTGCTTCAAAGAGAATAAAATACCTAGGAATCCAACTCACAAGGGATGTGAAGGACCTCTTCAAGGAGAACTACAAACCACTGCTCAAGGAAATAAAAGAGGATACAAACAAATAGAAGAACATTCCATGCTCATGGGTAGGAAGAATCAATATTGTGAAAATGGCCATCCGGCCCAAGGTAATTTACAGATTCAATGCCATCCCCATCAAGCTACCAATGACTTTCTTCACAGAATTGGAAAAAAAAAAACACGTTAAAATTCATATGGAACCAAAAAAGAGCCTGCATTGCCAAGTCAATCCTAAGCCAAAAGAACAAAGCTGGAGGTATCACACTACCTGACTTCAAACTATACTACAAGGCTACAGTAACCAAAACAGCATGGCACTGGTACCAAAACAGAGATATAGATCAATGGAACAGAACAGAGCCCTCAGAAAAAATGCCACATATCTACAACTATCTGATCTTTGACAAACCTGAGAAAAACAAGCAATGGGGAAAGGATTCCCTATTTAATTAATGGTGCTGGGAAAACTGGCTAGCCATATGTAGAGAGCTGAAACTGGATCCCTACCTTACACCTTATACAAAAATCAATTCAAGATGGATTAAAGACGTGAACGTTAGGCCTAAAACCATAAAAACCCTAGAAGAAAACCTAGGCAACGCCATTCAGGACATAGGCATGGGCAAGGACTTCATATCTAAAACACCAAAAGCAAAGGCAATAAAAGCCAAAAATGACAAATTGGATCTAATTAAACTAAAGAGCTTCTGCACAGCAAAAGAAACTACCATCAGAGTAAACAGGCAACCTACAAAATGGGGGAAAATTTTCACAACATACTCATCTGACAAAGGGCTAATATCCACAATCTAAAATGAACTCCAACAAATTTACAAGAAAAAAACAAACAACCCCATCAAAAAGTGAGCAAAGGACATGAACAGACACTTCTCAAAAGAAGACATTTATGCAGCCAAAAACCACACGAAAAAATTCTCATCATCACTGGCCATCAGAGAAATGCAAATCAAAACCAAAATGAGATACCATCTCACACCAGTTAGAATAGCAATCATTAAAAAGTCAGGAAACAACAGGTGCTGGAGAGGACTTGGAGAAATAGGAACACTTTTACACTGTTGATGGGACTGTAAACTAGTTCAACCATTGTGGAAGTCAGTGTGGTGAATCTTCAGGGATCTAGAACTAGAAATACCATTTGACCCAGCCATCCCATTACTGGATATATACCCAAAGGACTATAGATCATGCTGCTATAAAGACACATGCACACGTATGTTTATTGTGGCACTATTTACAATAGCAAAGACTTGGAACCAACCAAAATGTCCAACAGTCATAGACTACATTAAGAAAATGTGGCACATATACACCATGGAATACTATGCAGCCATAAAAAATGTTGAGTTCATGTCCTTTGTAGGGACATGGATGAAATTGGAAATCATCATTCTCAGTAAGCTATCACAAGAAGAAAACACCAAACACCGCAAATTCTCACTCATAGGTGGGAATTGAACAGCGAGAACAAATGGACACAGGAAGGGGAACATCACACTCTGGGGACTGTTGTTGGGTGGAGCAAGGGGGGAGGGATAGCATTGGGACATACACCTAATGGTTGATGACGAGTCAGTGGATGCAGTGCACAAGCATGGCACATGTATAAATATGTAACTAACCTGCACGTTTTGCACATGCACCTTAAAACAAAGTATAATAATAATACAAAAATAAATAAATAAAGCAGTGTTTCAAAAGTGCTCTATCAAAAGAAAGGTTCAACTCTGTGAATTGAATGCACACATCACAAAAAAGTTTCTGAGAATACTTCTGTCTAGTATTCATGTGAAGATATTTCCTTTTCCATCATAGGTCTCAAAGCCCTAAAAATGAACATTTGCAGATTATACAGAAAGAAAGTTTCAAATCTGCTCTATCAAAAGAAAGGTTCAACTCTGTGAGTTGAATGCACACATCACAAAGAACTTTCTAAGAATACTTCTGTCTAGTTTTTTTGTGAAGATAGCACGTTTCCAACGAATTCCTCAAAGAGTTCCAAATATCCACAAGCAGATTCCACAAAAGGAGTGTTTCAAAACTGCTCTATCAAAAGAAAGGTTCAACTCTGTGAATTGAACACACACATCACAAAGGAGTTTCTGAGAATGCTTCTGTCCAGTTTTTACGCGAAGATATCTCCTTTTCCACCATAGGCCTCAAAGGGCTTTAAATATCAACTTGGAAATTCTAAAAAAAGACTGTTTCAAAACTACTCTATCAAAAGAAGGGTTCCACTCTGTGAGGTGAATGCACACATCACAAAGAAGTTCCTGAGAATGCTTCTGTCTAGTTTCTATGTGAAGATATATCCTTTTCCAAAATAGGCCTCCAATTGCTCCAAATATCCACCTGCAGATTGTACAAAAAGACTGTTTCAAAACTGCTCTATCAAAAGAAAGGCTCAACACTTTGAGTTGAATATACATATCACAAAGCAGTTTCTGAGAATGCTTCTGTCTTGTTTTTATGTGAAGATATTTCCTTTTCCACCACAGGTCTCTAAGCGCTCAAAATCAACATTTGCAGATTATACAAAAAGAATATTTCAAATCAGCTTTACCAAAAGAAAGGTTCAACTCCATGAGTTGAATGCAAACATCACAAAGAACTTTCTGAGAATACTTCTGTCTGCTTTTTTTGTGAAGACAGCCTGTTTCCAAAGAATTCCTCAAAGAGGTACATATATGCACAAGCAGATTCTACAAAACAAGTGTTTCAAAACTGCTCTATCAAAAGAAAGGTTCAACTCTGTGAGTTGAATGCACATATCACAAAGAAGCTTATGAGAATGCTTCTGTCTAGTTTTTATGTGAAGATATTTCCTTTTCCACCATAGGCCTCAAAGCGCTCCAAGTGAACACTTGCAGATTCTACAAAAAGTGTCTCAAAACTGCTCTAACAAAAGAAAGGTTCAACTCTGTGAGTTGAATGCACACATCACAAAGGACTTTCTGAGAATGCTTCCATCTAGTTTTTATGTGAAGATACCCATTTCCAATGAATTCCCCAAGAGTTCCAAATATCCACAAGCAGATTCTACAAAAGGAGTGTTTCAATACTGCTCTATCAAAAGACAGGTTCAACTCTGTTAGTTGAATGCACACATCTCAAAGAAGTTCCTGAGAATGCTTCTGTCTAGCTTTTATGTGAAGATATTTCCTTTTCCACCATAGGCTTCAAAGCACTCCAAATGAACACTTGCACATTCCACAAAAAGACTGTTTCAAAACTGCTCTATCAAAATAAGGGTTCCACTGTGTGAGGTGAATGCACACATCACAAAGAAGTTTCTGAGAATGCTTCTGTCTAGTTTTCATGTGAAGATATTTCCTTTTCCACCATAGGCCTCAAATCGCTCCAAATATCCGCTTGCAGAAACTACAAAAAGACTGTTTCCAAACCGCTCTCTCAAAAGGAAGGTTCAACACGTTGAGATGAATGCACACATCCCAAAGCAGTTTCTCAGAATTCTTCTGTCTAGTTTGTATGTATAGTTATCCAGTTTACAACGACTTTCTCAAAAAGCTCCAAATATCCACAAGCGGATTCTAGAAAAGCAGTGTTTCAAAACTACTCTATCAAAGAAAGGTTCAACTCTGTGAATTGAACACACACATCACAAAGGTGTTTCTGAGAATGCTTCTGTCTAGTTTTTATGTGAAGATATTACCTTTTCCACCATAGGGTTCAAAGCGCTCCAAATGAACACTGGCAGATCCTACAAAAAGACTGATTCAAAACTGCTCTATCAAAGGAAGGGGGCAACACTGTGAGTTGCATGCACACATCACAAAGAAGTTTCTGAGAATGCTTCTGTCGAGTTTTTATGTGAAGATATTTCCTTTTCCACCATAGGCCTCAAATCGCTCCAAATATCCACTTGCAGATACTACAAAAACACTGTTTCAGAACTGCTCTCTCAAAAGGATGGTTCAACTCTGTGAGTTGGATGCACACATCTCAAAGCAGTTTCTGAGAATGCTTCTAGTTTGTATGTGAAGATATCGCGTTAACAACGAATTCCACAAAGAGCTCCAAATATCCACGAGCAGATTCTACAAAAGGATTTTTTCAAAACTGCTCTATCAAAAGAAAGATTCAACTCTGTGAGTTGAATGCACACATCACAAAAAAGTTTCTGAGAATGCTTCTGTCTAGTTTTTATGGGAAGATATTACCTTATCCACCGTAGGCTTCAAAGCGCTCCAAATGAACACTTGCAGATTCTACAAAAAGACTGTTTCAAAACTGCTCTATCAAAGGAAGGGTTCAATTGTGTGAGTTGAATGCGCACATCTCAAAGCAGTTTCTGCAAATGCTTCTGTCGACTTATGTGAAGCATTTTATGTGAAGATATTTCCTTTTCCACCACAGGCCGCACGTCGCTCCAAATATCCACTTGCAGAGACGACAAAAACACTGTTTCAAAACTGCTCTATCAAAAGAAAAGCTCAGCTCTGTGAGTTGAATGCACACGTCACAAAGCAGTTTCTGAGAATGCTTCTATTTCGTATGTGAAGATATTCCGTTTACAACGAATTCCTCAAAGAGCTCCGAATATCCGCAAGTAGATCCTACAAAAGGAGTGTTTCAAAACTGCTCTATCAAAAGAAAGGTTCAACTCTGTGAGGTAAATGTTCACATCACAAAAGAGTTTCTGAGAATGCTTCTGCCTATTTTTTATGTGAAGGTATTTCCTTTTCCACCATAGGCCTCTAAGCGCTATAAATGAACACTTGCAGATTATACAGAAAGAATGTTTCAAAACTGCTCCAACAAAAGAAGGTTCAACTCTGTGATGCACACATAACAAATAACTTTCTGAGAATTCTTCTGTCTACTTTTTTTGTGAAGATAGCCCGTTACCAGTGAATTCCTCTAAGAGGTTCATATATCCACAAGCAGACTCTACAAAAGGAGTGTTTCAACACTGCTCTATCAAAAGAAAGGTCCAACTCTGTGAATTGAACACACACATCACTAAGGTGTTTCTGAGAATGATTCTGTCTAGTTTGTATGTGAAGATATTTCTTTTTCCACCTTTGGCCTCACAGCGCTCCAAATGAACACTTGCAGATTCTACAAAAAGTGTGTTTCAAAACTGCTCTATCAAAAGAAAGATTCATCTCCGTGAGCTGAATACACACATCACAAAGTACTTTCTGAGAATGCGTCAGTCTAGTTTTTATGTGAAGTTACCCATTTCCAACGAATTCCCCATGAGTTCCAAATATCCACAAGCAGATTCTACAAAAGGAGTGTTTCAATATTGCTCTATCAAAAGACAAGTTCTAATCTGTTAGTTGAATGCACACATCTCAAAGAAGTTCCCGAGATTGCTTCTATTTTTTATGTGAAGATATTTCCTTTTCCACCATAAGATTCAAAGTGCTCCAAATGAACACTTGCAGATTCTACAAAAATACTTTTTCAAAAATACTCTATCAAAAGAAGGGTTCCACTCTGTGAGGTGAATGCACACATCACAAAGCAGTTTCTTAGAATGCTTCTGTCTAGTTTTTATGTGAAGATATTTCCTTTTTCACAATAGGCCTTAAATCGCTCCAAATATCCACTTGCAGGTACCACAAAAAGACTTTTTCAAAACTGCTCTCTCAAAAGAAAGGTTCATCTCTGTGAGTTGAATGGACAGATCACAAAAAGGTTTCTGAGAATGCTTCTGTCTAGTTTTTATGTGAAGATATTACCTCTTCCACCATAGGCTCCAAAGCGCTCCAAATGAACAGTTGCAGATACAACAAAAAGACTGTTTCAAAACTGCTCTATCAAAGGAAGGGTTCAACCGTGTGAGTTTAATGCACACATCACAAAGCAGTTTGTGAGAATGCTTCTGTCTATTTTTTATTTGAAGATATTTCCTTTTCCACTTTAAGTCTCAAATCGCTCCAAATATCCACTTGCAGATACTACAAAAACACTGTTTCAAAACTGCTCTCTCAAAAGGAAGTCTCAACTCTGTGAGTTGAATGCAGACATTACAAAGCAGTTTCTGAGAATGCTTCAATTTTGTTGGTGAATATATCCTGTTTACAATGAATTCCTCAAAGAGCTCCATATATCCACAAGCAGATTCTTCAAAAAAAGGAGTGTTTCAAAACTGCTGTATCAAAATAAATGTTCCACTCTTTGAGTTGAATGCACACATCACAAAAAAGTTTCTGAAAATGCTTCTGTCTAGTTTTTATGTGACAATATTTCCTTTTCCACCATAGGCCTCTATGCGCTCAGAATAAACACTTGCAGATTATACAGAAGGAACTTTTCAAATCTGCTCTATCAAAGGAGAAGTTCCACTCTGTGAGTGGAATGCACTCATCACAAAGAAATTAATGAGAGTACTTCTGTCTACTTTTTTTGTGAAGATAGCCCGTTTCCAACGTATTCCTGAATCACCTTCATATATCCACAAGCAGATCCCTCTAAAGGAGTGTTTCAAAACTGCTCTATCAAAAGAAAGGTTCAACTCTGTGAATTGAACACACACATAAGAAAGGTGTTTCTGAGAATGCTTCTGTCTAGTTTTTATGTGAAGATATTACCTTTTCCACCATAGTCCTCACAGCACTCCAAATGATCACTTGCAGATTCTACAAAAAGTGTGTTTCAAAACTGCTCTAACAGAAGAAAGGTTCAACTCTGTGAGTTGAATGCACACATCACAAAGAACTTTCTGAGAATGCGACTGTCTAAGATTTATGTGAAGTTAACTGCTTCCAAAGAATTCCACAGGAGTTCCAAATATCCACAAGCAGATTCTACAAAAGGAGTGTTTCAATACTGCTCTATCAAAAGACAAGTTCAACTCTGTTAGTTGAACGCACACATATCAAAGAAGTTCCCGAGAATGCGTCTGTCTATTTTTTATGTGAAGATATTTCCTTTTCCACCATAGGATTCAAAGCGCTCCAAATGAACACTTGCAGATTATACAACAAGACTGTGTCCAAACTGCTCTATCAAAAGAAGGGTTCCACTCTGTGAGGTGAATGCCCACATCACAAAGACGTTTCTGAGGATGCTTCTGTCTAGTTTATTTTTCTGAAGATAGCCCGTTTCCAAAGAATTGCTCAAAGCATTCCAAATATCCACAAGCAGATTCTAGAAAAGGAGTGTTTCAAAACTGCTCTATCAAAAGAAAAGTTCATCTCTGTGAATTGAACACACAAATCACAAAGGAGTTTCTGAGAATGCTTCTGTCTAGTTTTTATGTGAAGATGTTTCCTTTTCCACCTTAGGCCTCTAAGCGCTCAGAATGAAAACTTGCAGATTATACAGAAGGAATGTTTCAAATCTGCTCTGTCAAATGAAAAGTTCAACTTTGTGACTGGAATGCACACATCCCAAAGAAATCTGTGAGAAACCTTCTGTCTACTTTTTTTGTGACGATAGCCCGTTTCCAACATATTCCTGAGACACTTTCATATATCCACAAACAGATTCCTCAAAATGAGTGTTTCAAAACTTCTCTAACAAAAGAAAGGTTCAACTCTGTGAATTGAACACACATATAAGACAGGTGTTTCTGAGAATGCTTCTGTCTACTATTTAAGTGAAGATATTTTCTTTTTCACCGTAGTCCTAACAGCACTCCAAATGATCACTGGCAGATTCTACAAAAAGTATGTTTCAAAACTCCTCTATCAAAAGAAATGTTAAACTCTGTGAGTTGAATGCAAACATCACAAAGAACTTTCTGAGAATGCGTCTGTTTAGGTTTTATGTGAAGTTAACCGTTTCCAAAGAATTCCCCAGGAGTTCCAAATATCCACAAGCAGATTTTACAAAAGGAGTGTTTCAATTGCTCTATCAAAAGACAAGTTCAACTCTGTAGTTGAATGTACACATTTCAAAGAAGTTCCCGAGAAGGCTTCTGTCTATTTCTTATGTGAAGATATTTCCTTTTCCACCATAGTATTCAAAGCGCTCCAAATGAACACTTGCAGATTACACAAAAATACTGTTTCAAAACTACTCTATCAAAAGAAGTGTTCCACTCTGTGAGTTGAATGCCCACATCACAAAGCCGTTTCTGAGGATGCTTCCGTATAGTTTTATTCTGAAGATAGCCCGTTTCCAACGAATTCCTGAAAGAGTTCCAAATATCCACAAGCAGATTCTAGAAAAGGAGTGTTTCAAAACTGCTCTATCAAAAGAAAGGTTCATCTCTGTGAATTGAACACACAAATCACAAAGGAGTTTCTGAGAATGCTTCTGTCTAGTTTTTATATGAAGATATTTTCTTTTCCACCATAGGCCTCAAAGCTCTCCAAATGAACACTTGCAGATTTTTCAAAAAGAGTTTTTCAAAACTTGTCTGTCAAAAGACAGTTTCAACTCTGTTAGCTGAATGCACACATCACAAGGAAGTTCCCGGGAATGTTTCTGTCTAGTTTCTATGTGAAGATATATCCTTTTCCAACATTGGCCTCAAATCGCTCCAAATATCCACCCACAGATTGTAAAAAAAGACTGTTTCAAAACTGCTCTATCAAAAGAAAGGCTCAACTCTGTGAGTTGAATGTACACATCACAAAGCAGTTTCTGAGAAAGCTTCTGTCTAGTTTTTACGTGAAGATATTTCCTTTTCCACCATAGTCTTCAAATCGCTCCAAATATCCACTTGCAGATACTACAAATACACTATTTGAAAACTGCCCTCTCAATAGGAAGGTTCGTCTCTATGAGTTGAAAGCACACTTCACAAAGTGTTTCTGAGAATGCTTCTATTTTGTATGTGAATATATCCCCTTTAAAACGAATTCCTCAAAGAGCTCCAAATATTCACAAGCACATCCTACAAAAGGAGTGTTTCAAAACTGCTCTATCAAAAGAAAGTTTCAACTCTGTGAGTTGAATGCACACCTCACAAAAAACTTTCTGAGAATGCTTCTGTCTAGTTTTTACGTGAAGATATATCCTTTTCCAACATAGGCCTCAAATCTCCCAAATATCCATCTGCAGATTATACAAAAAGACTGTTTCAAAACTGCTCTATCAAAAGAAAGGCTCAGCTCTGTGAGTTGAATGCACACATCAAAAAGCAGTTTCTTAGAATGCTTTTGCCTAGTTTTCATGTGAAGATATTTCCTTTTAAACCAGAGGCCTCATATCGCTCCAAATACCCACTTGCAGGTACCACAAAAAGACTGTTTCACAACTGCTCTCTCCAAAGGAAGGTTCAACTCTGTGAGTTGAGTGCACACATCACAAAGCAGTTTCTGAGAATGCTTCTGTCTCGTTTGTATGTGAAGATATTTCCTTATCCACCATAGGCCTCTAAGCGCTAAAAATGGACACTTGCAGACTATACAGAAAAAATGTATCAAATCTGCTGTTTCAAAAGAAAGTTTCAACTCTGTCAGATGAATGCACACATCACAAAGAACTTTCTGAGAATACTTCTGTCTACTTTTTTTGGGAAGATAGCCCGTTTCCAACGAATTCCTCAAAGAGTTTCATATATCCACAAGCAGATTCTACAAACGTAGTGTTTCAAAAGTGCTCTATCAAAAGAAAGGTTCAATTCAGTGAATTGAACACACACATACAAAGAGTTTCTGAAAATGCTTCTGTCTAGTTTTTATGTGATGATATTTCCATTTCCAACATAGGCCTCAAAGTGCTCCAAATGAACACTTGCAGTTACTACAAAAAGTGTGTTTCCAAACTGCTCTATCAAAAGAAAGGTTCAACTTTGTGAGTTGAATGCATACATCACAAAGAACTTTCCGAGAATGCTTTTCTCTATTTTATATGTGATGTTATCAATTTCCAAATAATTCCTCAAAGAGTTCCAAATATCCACAAGTAGATTCTACAAAAGGAGTGTTTCAATACTGCTCTATCAAAAGACAGGTTTAACTGTGTTAGTTGAATGCACACATCTCAAAGAAGTTCCTGAGAATGCTTCTGTCTAGTTTTTATGTGAAGATATTTCCTTTTCCACCATAGGCCTGAAAGCGCTCCAATGAACACTTGCAGATTCTACAAAAAGTGTGTTTCAAAACTGCTCTTTCAAAAGAAGTGTTCCACTCTGTGAGGTGAATGCACACATCAAAAAGCAGTCTCTGAGAATGCTTCTGTCTAGTTTTCATGTGAAGATATTTCCTTTTCCATCTTATGCCTCAAATCACTGCAAATATCAACTTGCAGATATTCAAAAAGACTGCTTCAAAACTGCTCTCTCAAAAGAAAGCTTCAACTCTGTGAGTTGAATGCACACATCACAAAGCAGTTTCTGAGAATGCTTCTGTCTAGTTTGTATGTGAAGATATACCGTTTCCAACGAATTCTTCAAATAGCTCCAAATATCCACAAGTAGATTCTACAAAAGCAGTGTTTCAAAACTGCTCTATGAAAAGAAAGTTTCAACCCTGTGAATTGCATGCACACATCACAAACAAGTTTCTGAGAATGCTTCTGTATAGTTTTTATGTGTAGATATTTCCTTTTCCACCATAGGATTCAAAGAGCTCCAAATGAACACTTGCAGATTCTACAAAAATACTATTTCAAAACTGCTATATCAAAGGAAGTGTTCAACTCTGTGAATTGAATGAACACATCACAAAGCAGTTTCTGAGAATGCTTCTGTCTAGTTTGTATGTGAAGATATCCCGTTTCCAACGAATTCCTCAAATAGCTCCAAATATCCACAAGTAGATTCTACAAAAGCAGTGTTTCAAAACTGCTCTATGAAAAGAAAGTTTCAACCCTGTGAATTGCATGCACACATCACAAACAAGTTTCTGAGAATGCTTCTGTATAGTTTTTATGTGTAGATATTTCCTTTTCCACCATAGGATTCAAAGAGCTCCAAATGAACACTTGCAGATTCTACAGAAAGACTGTTTCTTAAGTGCTCTCTCAAAAGAATGGTGCCACTCTGTGCGGTGAATGCACACATCACAAAGGAGTTTCTGAGAATGTTTCTGTCTCCTTTTTATGTGAAGATATTTCCTTTTCCATCATAGGCCTCAAATCGCACCAAATATCCACTTTGCAGATACTACAAAAAGACTGTTTCAAAAATGCTCTCTGAAAAGATAGATTCAACTCTGAGTTGAGTGCACACGTCAAAAAGCAGTTTCTGAGCATTCTTCTGTCTATTTTGTATGTGAAGATACACCATTTACAACGAATTCCTCATAGAGATCCAAATATCCACAAGCAGATTCTAGAAAAGCAGTGTTTCAAAGCTGCTCTATCAAAAGAAATGTTCAACTCTGTGAATTGAATGCACACATCACAAAAAAGTTTCTGAGAATGCTTCCGTCTAATTTTCATGAGAAGATATTTCCTTTTCAACCATTGTCCTCAAAGCGCTCAAACTGAACACTTGCAGATTATACAGAAAGAAAGTTTCAAATCTGCTCTATCAAAAGAAAAGTTCAACACTGTGAGTTGAATGATAACATCACAAAGAACTTTCTGGGAATACTTCTAGTTTTTTTGTGAAGATAGCCCCTTTCCAACGAATTCCTCAAAGAGTTCCAAATATCCACAGGCAGTTTCTACAAAAGGAGTGTTTCAAAACTGCTCTATCAAAAGATAGGTTCAGCTCTGTGAATTGAACTAACACATCACAAGGGAGTTTCTGAGAATGCTTCTGTCTAGTTTTAAGTAGAGATATTTCCTTTTCCACCACAGGCCTCAAAGCTCTCCAAATGAACACTTGCAGATTGTACAAAAAGAGTGTTTAAAAGCTGATCTGTCAAAAGAAAGGTTCAGATATGTTAGCTGAATGCACACATCACAAAGAAGTTCTTGAGAATGCTTCTGTCTAGTTTTAAGTGAAGATATTTCCTTTTCCACCACAGGCCTCAAAGCTCTCCAAATGAACACTTGCAGATTGTACAAAAAGAGTGTTTAAAAGCTGATCTGTCAAAAGAAAGGTTCAGATATGTTAGCTGAATGCACACATCACAAAGAAGTTCTTGAGAATGCTTCTGTCTAGTTTTTATGTGAAGATATATGCTTTTTCAACTTAGGCTTCAAATCGCTCCAAATATTCACCTGCAGATAATACATAAAGACTGTTTCAAATCTGCTCTATCAAAAGAAAGGCTCAGCTCTGTGAGTTAAATGCACACATCACAAAGCAGTTTCTTAGAATGCTTTGCTCTAGTTTTTATGTGAAGATATTTCCTTTTACACCTGAGGCCTCAAATCGCTCCAAATATCCACTTGCAGGTACCACAAAAAGACTGTTTCTAAATTGCTCTCTCAAAAGGAAGGTTGAAATCTGTGAGTGGATGGCACACACCACAAAGCAGTTTCTGAGAATGCTTCTGTCTAGTTTTTATGTGAAGATATTTTCTTTTCCACCATAGGCCTCTAAGCTCTTAAAATGGACACTTGCAGATTATACAGAAAGAATTTTTCAAATCTGCTCTATCAAAAGAAAGTTTCAACTCTGTTAGTTGAATGCACACATCACAAAGAACTTTCTGAGAATATTTCTGTCTATTTTTTTTTGTGAAGATAGCCCGTTTACAACAAATTCCTCAAAGAGTTTCATATAACCACAAGCAGCTTCTACAAAAGTAGTGTTTCAAAACTGCTCTATCAAAAGAAAGGTTTAACTCTGCGCATTGAACACACACATCACAAAGTTGTTTCTCAGAATTTCTCTGTGTAGTTTTTATGTGAAGATATTTCCTTTTCAACCATAGTCCCCAAAGCGATCTAAATGAACACTTGCAGATTCCACAAAAGTGTGTTTCAAAACTACTCTAACAAAGGAAAGGTTCAACTCTATGAGTTGAATGCACACATCAGAAGAACTTTCTGAGAATGCTTCTGTCTATTTTTTACGTGAAGATACCCGTTTCCAAAGATTTCTCCAAGAATTCCAAATATCCGGAAATAGATTCTACTAAAGGAGTGTTTCAATACTGCTCTATCAAAAGACAGATTCAACTCTATTAGTTGAATACACACATCGCAAGGCAGTTTCTGAGAATGCTTCTGTCTCTTTTGTATATGAAGATATCCCGTTTACAACGAATTCTTTAAAGAGATCCAAATATCCAAAAGCAGATTCTACAAAAGGAGTGTTTCAAAAGTGCTCTACCAAAAGAAAGTTTCAACTCTGAGTTGAATGCACACATCACAAAAAAGTTTCTGAAAATGTTTCTGTCTAGATTTTGTGTGAAGATATTTCCTTTTCCGCCATAGAACTGTTAGAGCTCAAAATGAACACTTGCAGAATATACAGAAAGAATGTTTCAAATCTGATCTAACAAAAGAAAGGTTCAACTCTGTGAATTGAATGCACACATCACAAAGGACTTTCTGAGAATACTTCTGGATAGTTTATTTCTGAAGATATCCCGTTTCCAACGAATTCATAAAGAGTTTCATATATCCACAAACAGATCCTACAAAGGGAATGTTTCAAAACTGTTCTGACAAAAGAAAGGTTCAACCCTGTGAATGGAACACACACATCAAAAACGTGTTTGTGAGAATGCTTCTGTCTACTTTTTATGTGAAGATATTACCTCTTCCACCATAGGCTTCAAAGCGCTCCAAAGAAACACTTGCAGATTCTACAAAAAGACTGTTTCAAAACTGCTCTATCAAAAGAAGGGTTCAAATCTGTAAGTTGAATGCACACATCACAAAGCAGTTTCTGAGAATGCTTCTGTCCAGTTTCTACGTGAAGATATTTCCTTTTCCACCATAGGCCTCTAAGAGCTCATAACGAACACCTGCAGATTATACAGAAAAAATGTTTCACATCTGCTCTATCAAAAGAAGGGTTCAACTCTGTGATTTGAATGCACACATGACAAAGAACTTTTTGTGAATACTTCTGTTTATTTTTTTTCTGACGATAGCTCATTTCCAACGAAATCCTCAAAGAGTTTCATATATCCACAAGCAGATTCTACAAAAGAAGTGCTTCAAACTGCTCTGTCAAAATAAAGGTTCAACTCTGTGAATTGAACACACACATCAGAAAGTTGTTTCTGAAAATGCTTCTGTCTTGTTTTTATGTGAAGATATTTCCTTTTCCACCCTAGGCAGCAAATCACTCCAAATATCCACTTGCAGATAGTACAAAAACGTTGTTTCAAAACTGCTCTCTCAAAAGGAAGTTTCATTTCTGTGAGTTGAATGCACACAATAACAAAGCAGTTTCTGAGAATGCTTCTAGTTTGTATGTGAAGATTTCCCGTTTACTACAAGTTCCTCAAAGAGCTCCAAATATCCACAAGCAGATTCTACAAAAGGAGTGTTTCAAAAGTGCTCTATCAAAAGAAATGTTCAACTCTGTGAGTTGAATGCACACATCACAGAAAAGTTTCTGGAAATGCTTCTGTCTAGTTTTTATGTGAAGATTTTTCCTTTTCCACCATAGGTCTCTAAGCGCTCAAAGGAACACTTGCAGATTATACAGAAAGAATGTTTCAAATCTGCTTTATCAAAAGAAAGGTAGAACTCTGTGAATTGAATGCACACATCACAAATAACTTTCTGAAAATACTTCTCTCTAGTTTATTTCTGAAGATAGCCCGTTTCCAATGAATTCCTACAGAGTTTCAGATTTCCACAAACAGATTCTACAAAAGGAGTGTTTCAAAACTGTTATATCAAAAGAAACGTTCAACTCTGTGAAGTGAATACACACATCACGAAGGTGTTTCTGAGAATGCTTCTGTCTAGTTTTTAAGTGAAGATATTTTCTTTTCCAACATAGTCCTCAAAACGCTCCAAATGAACACTTGCAGATACTACGTAAAGTGTGTTTCAAAACTGCTCTATCAAAAGAAAGGTTCAACTCCGTGAGATGAATGCACACATCACAGAGAACTTTCTGAGAATGCTTCTGTCTAGTTCTTATATGAAGATACCTTTTGCAACGAATTTCCCAATAGTTCCAACTTTCCACAAGCAGATTCTTCAACAGGAGTGTTTCAATACTGCTCTATCAAAAGACAGGTTCAACTCCGTTAGTTGAATGCACACATCTCAAAGAAGTTTCTGAGAATTCTTCTTTCTCGTATTATGTGAAGATATTTCCTTTTCCACCATATGTTTCAAAGCGCTCCAAATGAACACTTACAGATTTTACAAAAAGATTGTTTCAAAACTGCTCTCTCAAAAGGAAGGTTCAACTCAATGTGTTGAATGTACACATCACAAAGCAGTTTGTGAGAATGCTTCTGTCTGGTTTTTATGTAAAGATATTTCCTTTTCCATCATAGGCCTCAAATAGCTCCAAATATCCACTTGCAGATACTACAAAAAGACTGTTAGGTACCTGCTCTCTCAAAAGGAAGGTTCAACTCTTTGAGTAGAATGCACACATCACAAAGCAGTTTCTGAGAATGCTTCTCTCTAGATTGTATGTGAAGATATCCCGTTTACAATGAATTCCTCAAAAAGATCCAAATATCCACAAGCAGATACTACAAAACAGTGTTTCAAAACTGCTCTATCAAAAGAAAGGTTCAACTCTGTGAAAGGAATGTACACATCACAAAAAAGTTTCTGAGAATGCTTCTGTCTAGTTTTCATTTGAAGGTGTTTCCTTTTCCACCGTAGGCCTCAAAGCGCTCAAAATGAACACTTGCAGATTATACAGAAAGAAAGTTTCAAACCTGCTCTATCAAAAGAAAGGTTCAACTCTGTGAGTTAAATGCACATATCACAAAGAACTTTCTGACAATACTTCTCTCTGTTTTTTTTTCTGATGATAGCCCGTTTCCAACGAATTCCTCAAGGAGTTTCATATATCCACAAGCAGATTTTACAAAATTAATGTTTCAAAACTGCTCTATCAAAAGAAAGGTTCAACTCCGTGAATTGAACACACACATCACAAAGCTATTTCTGAGAATGCTTCTGTCTAGTATTTATGTGAAGATATTCCCTTTTCCACCATAGGCCTCAAAGAGCTCCAAATGAACATTTGCAGATTCTACAAAAAGAGGATTTAAAACCTGGTCTATGAAAAGAAAAGTTCTACTTGGTAAGTTGAATGCACACATCACAAAGTACTTTCTGAGAATACTTCTGTGCAGTTTTTATGTGAGGATAACCATTTCCAAAGAGTCCTTAAAGAGTTTCAAATATCCTCAAGAAGATTCTGCAAAGGGAGTGTTTCAATACTGCTCTATGAAAAGACAAATTCAACTCTATTCTTTGAATGCACACATCTCAAAGGAGTTCCTGAGAATGCTTCTGTCTAGTTTCGATGTGAAGATATTTCCTTTTCCTCCCTAGGCTTCAAAGCGCTCCAAATGAACACTTGCAGATACTACAAAAAGACTATTTCAAAACTGCTCTATCAAAAGAAGGGTTCCACTCTGTGAGATGAATGAATGCAACACAAAGCAGTTTCTGAGAATGCTTCTGTCTAGTTTTTATGTGAAGATTTCTCTTTTCCATCATAGGCCTCAAATCGCTCCAAATATCCACTTGCAGATACTACAAAAAGACTGTTTGAAAACTGCTCTCTCAAAAGGATGGTTCAATTCTGTGAGTTGAATGCACACATCACAAAGCCGATTCTGAGAATGCTTCTGTCTCGTTTGTATGTGAAGGTATCCCGTTTACAACGAATACTTCAAAGAGCTCCAAAGATCCACAAGCAGATTCAACAAAAGCAGTGTTTCAAAACTGCTCTATCAAAAGAAAAGTTCAAATTTGTGAATTGAATGTACACATCACAAAAAATTTTCTGAGAATGCTTCTGTCTAGTTTTCATGTGAAGATATTTCCTTTTCCACCGTAGGCCTCAAAGCGCTCAAAATGAACACTTGCAGATTATGCAGAAAGAAAGTTTCAAATCTACTCTATCAAAAGAAAGGTTCAACTCTGTTGGTAGAATGCACACATCACAAAGAAATTTCTGAGAATACCTCTGTCTAGTTTTTTGGTGAAGATAGTCCGTTTCCAACAAATTCCTCAAAGAGTTCCAAATGTCAACAAGCAGATTCTACAAAAAGAGTGTTTCAAAACTACTCCATCAAAAGAAAGGATTAACTCTGTGAATTGAACACACACATCACAAAGGAATTTCTGGGAATGCTTCTGTCTAGTTTTTATGTGAAGATATTTCCTTTTCCACCATACGCCTCTAAGCTCTCCAAATGAACACTTGCAGATTTTACAAAAAGAGTGTTTCAAAACTGCTCTGTCAAAAGAAAGGTTCAATTATGTTAGTTGAATGCACACATCACAAAGAAGTTCCTGAGAATGCTTCGTCTAGTTTTTATGTGAGGATATTACCTTTTCCATCATAGGCCTCAAATAGCTCCAAATATCCACTTGCTGAAACTACAAAAAGATGGTTTCAAATCTGCTCTCTCAAAAGGAAGGTTCAACTCTGTGAGTTGAATGCACACGTCACAAAGCAGTTTCTGAGAATGCTTTGTATAGTTTGTATGTGAAGATATCCCATTTACAATGTATTCCTCAAAGAGCTCCAAATATACACAACAGATTCCACAAAAGCAGTGTTTCAAACTGCTCTATCAAAAGAAAGTTTCAACTCTGTGAATTGAATGAGCACATCACAAAAATGTTTCTGAGAATGCTTCTGTCTAGGTTTCATGTGAAGCTATTTCCTTTTCCACCATAGGCCTCAAAGCCCTCCAAATATCCACCTGCAGATATTACAAAAAGACTCTTTCAAAACTGCTCTAGCAAAAGAAAGACTCAACTCTGATTTCAAAGCACAAATCACAAAGCAGTTTCTGAGAATACTTCTGTCTAGTTTTTTATGTGAAGATATCCCGATTCCAACGAATTCCTCAAAGAGGTCCAAATATCCGCAAGCAGTTTCTACAAAAGGAATGTTTCAAAAGTGCTCTATCAAAAAGAAAGTTCAAACCTGTGAGTTGAATGCATACATCACAAAAAGTTTCTGAGAATGCTTCTGCGTAGTTTTTACATGAAGATATTCTCTTTTCCACCAAAGGCTTCAAAGTGCTCCAAATGAACACTTGGAGATTCTACAAAAAGACTGTTTCAAAACCACTCTATCAAAAGAAGGCTTCAACTCTGTGAGTTGAATGCACACATCACAAAGCAGTTTCTGAAAATGCTTCTGCATAGTTTTTACGTGAAGATATTTCCTTTTCCACCAAAGGCTTCAAAGCGCTCCAAATGAACACTTGGAGATTCTACAAAAAGACTGTTTCAAAACCTCTCTATCAAAAGAAGGATTCAACTCTGTGAGTTGAATGCACCCATCACAAAGCAGTTTCTGAGAATGCTTCTGTCTAGTTTTTATGTGAAGCTGTCCCGTTTACAACGAATTCCTAAAAGAGCTCCAAATACCCACAAGCAGATTCCAAAAAAGGACTGTTTGAAAACTGCTCTATCAAAAGAAAGGTTCAACTCTGTGAGTTGAATGCACACATCACAAATAACTTTCTGAGAATGCTTCTGTCTAGTTTTTATGTGCAGATATCCCGTTTCCAACAAATTCCTCAAAGAGTTCAAAATATCCATAAGCAGATTCTGCAAAAGAAACGTTTCAAAACTGCTTTATCAAAAGAAAGGTTGTAGTCTGTTAGTTGAATGCACACATCTCAATGAAGTTCCTGAGAATGCTTCTGTCTAGTTTTTATGTGAAGATATTTCCTTTTCCATCATAGGCCACAAAGCACTCCAAATATCCACTGAAAGATACTGCAAAAAGACTGTTTCAAAACTGCCCTCTCAAAAAGAATGTTCAACTCTGTCAGTTGAATGGACACATCACAAAGAACTTTCTGAGAATGCTTCTGTCTAGTTTTTATGTGAGAGTATTTCCTTTTCTACCATAGGCTTCAAAGCGCTCAAAATGAACACTGGCAGATTCTACAAAAAGAGTGTTTCAAAACTGCTCTATCAGAAGAAAGGTTCAACTCTGTGAGATGAATGCACACATAACAAAGAAGTTTCTGAAAATGCCTCTGTCTAGTTTTCATGTGAAGATATTTCCTTTTCCACCATAGGCCTCAAAGCACTCCAAATGAACACAGGCAAATTCTACAAAAAGAGTGTCGCAAAACTGCTCTATCAAAAGAAATGTTCAAGTCTGCGAGTTGAATGCACACATCACAAAGTGGTTTCTGAGAATGCTTCTATCTAGTTTTCATTTGAAGATATTTCCTTTTCCAACATAGGCCTCAAAGCGCTCCAAATGAACACTTGCAGATTCCACAAAAAGTGTGTTTCAAAACTGCTCTATTAAAACAAGTATTCAAATCTGTGAGTTGAATGCACACATCACAAAGCAGTTTTTGGGAATGCTTCAGTCTAGTTTTTATGTGTAGATATTCCCGTTTCCAACGAAGGCCTCATATATCTGAAATTATCCACTAGCAGATTCTGCAAAAGGAGTGTTTCAAAACTGCTCTATCAAAAGAAAAGTTCAACTGTGTTACTTGAATTCACACATCTCAAAGAAGTTTCTGAGAATGCTTCTGTCTAGCTTTTATGTGAAGATATTTCCTATTCCACCATAGGCCTCAAAGCGCTCCAAATGAACACTTGCAGATTCTACAAAAAGAGCATTTCAAACCTGGTCTATCAAAAGAAAGGTTCAACTCTGTTAGCTGAATTCGCACATCACAAATAAGTTCCTGAGAATGCTTCTGTCTGGTTTTTATGTGAAGATATTTCATTTTCCAACACAGGCCTCAAATCGCTCCAAATATGCACTAGCAGATTCTACAAAGAGACTGATAGAACACTGCTCTCACAAAAGAAGTTTCAACTCTGTGAGTTGAATGCACACATCACACAGAAGTTTCTGAGAATGCTTCTGTCTAGTTTTTATGTGAAGATACCCGTTTCCTACGTATTCCTCAAAGAGTTCAAAATATCCAAAAGCAGATTCTACAAAAGGAGTGTTTCAATACTGCTCTATCAAAAGACAGGTTGAACTCTGTTAGTTGAATGCACACATCTCAAAAAGTTCCTGAGAATGCTTCTGTCTAGTTTGTATGTGAAGATATCCCCGTTTCCAACGAAGGCCTCAAAGAGTTCCAAATATCCACAAGCAGATTCTACCAAAGGAGTGATTGAAAACTGTTCTATCAAAAGAAAGGTTCAACTCTGTGAATTGAACACATACATCACAAAGATATTTCTGAGAATGCTTCTGTCTAGTGTTTATGTGAAGCTATTTCCTTTTCCACCATAGGCCTCAAAGTATGCCAAATGGACCCTTGCATATTCTACAAAAAGAGTGTTTCAAAACTGCTCTATCAAAGGAAAGGTTCAACTCTGTTAGATGAATGCAAACACCAAAAAGAGGTTCCTGAGAATGTTTCTATATAGTTTTTATGTTAAAATATTTCCTTTTCCACCATGGGACTCAAATTGCCCCAAATATCCACGTTCAGATTCTACAAAAAGAGTGTTTCAAAACTGCTCTCATAAAAGGAAGGCTCAACTCTCTGTGTTGAATACTCACATCACAAAGCAGTCTGTGAGAAAGCTTCTGTCTAGCTTTTATGTGAAGATATTTCCTTTTCCACCATAGGCCTCAATTCACTCAAAAAAGCCACTTGCAGATACCTAACAGAGAGTGTTTCAAGTCTGCTCTCACAAAAGGAAGGTTCAACTCTGTGAGTTGAATGCACACATCACAAAGCAGTATCTGATAATGCTTCTGTCTACTTTGTATGTGAAGATATTCCCTTTAAAACGAATTCCTCAAAGAGCTCCAAATAACCACAAGCAGATTCTACAAAAGGAGTGTTTCAAAACTGCTCTATCATGAGTTGAATGCACACATCACAAAAAAATTTCTGAGAATGTTTCTGTCTAATTTTTATGTGAAGACATTTCCTTTTCCACCATAGGCCTCAAAGCGCTCAAAATGAACACTCGCAGGTTATACAGAAAGAAAGTTTCAAATCTGCTCTATCAAAAGAACCGTTCAACACTGTGAGTTGAATGCACACATCACAAAGAACTTTCTGAGAATGCTTCTGTCTAGTTTTTATGTGAAAATACCCGTTTCCAAGGTATTCCTCAAAAAGTTCCAAATATTCACAAGCAGATTCTACAAAAGGAGTCTTTCTAAACTGCTCTATCAAAAGACAGGTTCAACTCTTTTAGTTGAATGCACACATCTCAAAGAAGTTCCTGAGAATGCTTCTGTCTAGTATTTATGTGAACATATTTCCTTTTCCACCATGGGCCCCAAGTTGCGCAAAATGAACACTTGCAGATCCTATAAAAGGAGGGCTACAAAACTGCTCTATCAAAAGAAAGATTCCACTCCGAGAGTTGAGTGCATACATCACAAAGAAGTTTCTGAGAATACTTCTGTCTAGCTTTTATGTGAAGATATTTCCCTTTCCACAATAGGCCTCAAAATGCTCAAAGTGAACACCTGCAGATACGATAAAATGAGTGTTTCAAAACTGCTCTATCAAAAGAAAGGTTAAGCTCTGTGAGTTGAATGCACACATCACAAAGAACTTTCTGAGAATGCTTTTGTCTAGTTTTTTTTGAAGCTCCCCGTTTCCAAAGTATTCCTCAAAGAGTTCAAAATGTCCACAAGCAGATTCTACAAAGGGAGTGATTCAATACTGCTCTATCAAAAGACAGGTTCAACTCTGTTAGTTGAATGCACACATCTCAAAGTAGTTCCTGAGAATGCTTCTGGCTAGTTTTTATGTGAAGATATTTCCTTTTCCACCACAGGACTCAAATCGCTCCAAATATCCACCTGCAGATTCTACAAAAAGACTGTTTCAAAACTGCTCTCTCAAAAGGAAGGTTCAACTCTCTGAGTTGAATGCACACATCACAAAGCAGTTTCTGAGAATGCTTCTGTCTAGTTTGTATGTGACGATATCCTGTATACAACGAATTCCTCAAAGATCTCAAAATATCCACAAGCAGATTCTTCAAAAGGAGTGTTTCAAAACTGCTCTATCAAAAGAAAGGTTCAACTCTGTGAGTTGAATGCACACATCACAGAAAAGTTTCTGAGAATGATTCTGTCTAGTGTTTATGTGAAGATATTTCCTTTTCCACCATAGGCCTTAAAGCACTCCAAGTGAACTCCTGTAGATTATACAGAAAGAATGTTTCAAAACTGCTGTATCAAAAGAAAGGTTCAACTCCGTGAGTTGAATGCACACATCACAAAGAACTTTCTGAGAATACTTTTGTCTAGTTTTTTTTGTGTAGATAGCCCGTTTCCAAAGAATTCCTCCAAGAGTTCCAAGCATCCAGAAGCAGATACTACAAAAGGAGTGTTTCACATCTGCTCTACCAACAGAAAGGTTCAACTCTGTGAGTTGAATGCACACATAAAAAAGAATTTTCTGAAAATACTACTGTGTAGGTTTTTTGTGAAGATAACCCGTTTCCATTGAATTCCTCAAAGAGTTCCAAATATCCACAAGCAGATTTTACAAAAGGAGTGTTTCACAACTGCCTTACCAAAAGAAAGCTTCAACTCTGTAAATGGAACGCACACATCACAAAGGAGTTTCTGAGAATGCTTCTGTCTTGTTTTTATGTGAAGATATTACCTTTTCCACCATTGACCTCAAAGCCCTCCAAATGAACACTTGCAGATTCTACAAAAAGAGTGTTTCAAAACTGCACTATTAAAAGAAAGGTTCCACTCTGTTAGGTGAATGCACACATGACAAAGAAGTTCCTGAGAATGCTTCTGTTTAGTTTTTATGTGAAGATATTTCCTTTCCACCATAGGCCACAAATCGCTCCAAATATCCACCTGCAGATTCTACGAAAAGACTGTTTCAAAACTGCTCTCACAAAAGGAAGTTTCAACTCTGTGAGTTGAATGCACACATCCCAGAGAAGTTTCTGAGAATGCTTCTGTCTAGTTTTTATGTGAAGATATTTCCTTTTTCACCATAGGCCTCAAGGCGCTCTAAATGAACACTTGCAGATTCTACAAAAAGAGTGTTTAAAAACTGCTCTCTCAAAGGAAAGGTTCAACTCTGTGAGTTGAATGCTCACATCACAAAGAAGTTTCTGAGAATGCTTTTGTCCATTATTTATGTGAAGATATTTTATGTTTTCCACCATAGGCCTCAAAGTGATCCAAAGGAACCCTTGGAGATTCTACAGAAGAGTGTTTCAAAACTGCTCTATCCAAAGAAAGGTAGAACTCTGTGAGTTGAATGCACACCCCACAAAGAACTGTCTGAAAATGCTTCTGTCTAGTTTTTATGTGAAGATACATGTTTCCAATGAATTGCTCAAAGAGTTCCAAATACCCATAAGCAGATTCTACAAAATAAGTGTTACAATACTCTCCTATCAAAAGAAAGGTTGAACTATGTGAATTGAACACACACACATGAGAAAGGAGTTTCTGAGAAAGATTTTGTCTAGTTTTTATGTGAAGATAATTCCCTTTCCACCATAGGCCTCAAAGCGATCCAAATGAAAACTTGCAGATTCTACAAGAAGAGTGGTTCAAAACTGCTCTATCAAAAGAAAGGTTGAACTCTGTTAGCTGAATGCACACATCACAAAGCAGTTTCTGAGAATGTTTCTGTCTAGTTTTTATGTGAATATATTTCCTTTTCCACCATAGGCCACAAATCGAACAAAATATACACTTGCAGATAATACAAAAAGATTGTTTCAAAACTGCTCTCTCAAAAGGAAGGTTCAACTCTGTGAGTTGAATGCACACATCAGAAGAAAGTTTCTGAAGATGCTCCTCTCTAATGTTTATGTGAAGATATTTCCTTTTCCACCATAGGCCTCAAAGCGCTCAAAGTAAACACTTGCAGATCCTATAAAAGGAGTGTTTCAAAACTGCTCTATCAAAAGAAAAGTTCGATTCTGTGAGTTGAAATCACACATCACAAAGAAGTTTCTGAGAATGATGTTGTCTAGTTTGTATGTGAAGGTATTTCCTTTTAAACCATAGGCCTCAAAGCTCTCAAAGTGAACACTTGCAGATCCCATAAAGGGAGAGTTTCAAAACTGCTCTATCAAAAGAAAGGTTCAAGTCTGTGAGTTGAATGCACACATCACAAAGTACTTTCTGAGAATACTTCTGCCTAGTTTTTACGTGAAGATATTTCGTTCTCCACCATAGGCTTCAAATCGCTCCAAGTGAACACTTGCAGATTCTACAAAAAGACTATTCAAAACTGCTCTATCCAAAGAAGTGTTCAACACTGTGAGTTGAATGCACACATCACAAAGCAGTTTCTGAGAATGCTTCAGTCTAATTTTTATGTGAAGATATCCCGTTTAGAACGAATTCCTCAAATAGTTCCAAATATCCACAAGCAGATTCTACAAAAGGTGAGTTTCAAAACAGCTCTATCAAAAGAAAGGTTGAACTCGGTGAGTTGAATGCACGCATCACAAAGAACTTTCTGAGAACATTTCTGTCTAGTTTTTTTGTGATGATAGATCCTTACCAACGAATTCCTCAAAGATTTCCAAATATCCACAAGCAGATTCTACAAAAGGAGTGTTTCAAAACTGCTCTATCAAAAGAAAGGTTCAACTCTGTGAATTGAACACACACATCACAAACGAGTTTTTGAGAATGCTTCTGTCTAGTTTTTATGTGAAGATATTTTCTTTTCCACAATAGGCGTCAAATAGCTCCAAATGAACACTTGCAGATTCTAGAAAAAGAGTGTTTCAAAACTGCTCCTTCAAAAGAAATTTCAACTCGGTTAGCTGAATGTACACATCACATAGAAGTTCCTGAGAACGCTTTTGTCTAGTTTTAACGTGAAGATATTTCCTTTTCCAATATATGCCTCAAATCGCTCCAAATATCCACTGGCAGATTCTACAAAAAGACTGTTACAAAACTGCTCTCACAAAAGGAAGTTTCAACTCTGTGAGTTGAATGCACACATCACAAAGAAGTTTCTGAGAATGCTTCTGTCTAGTTTTTATGTGAAGATATTTCCTTTTCCACCTTAGGCCTCTAAGCACTCAAAATGAACACTTTTAGATTCTACAAAAAAAATGTTTCAAAACTGCTCTATGAAAATAAAGCTCAACTCTGTGAGCTGAATGCACACATCATGCAGAAGTTTCTGTGAATGCTTCTGTCTAGTGTTTATGTGAGGATATTTCCTTTTCCACCATAGGCTTCAAAGCCCTCCAAATGAACACTTGCAGATTCTACAAAAAGAGTGTTTCAAAACTGCTCTATCAAAAGTAAGGTTCAACTCTGTGAGTTGAATGCACACATCACAAAGAACTTCCTAAGAATGCTTCTGTCTTTTTTTTATGTGAAGATTCTCGTTTCCAAAGAATTCCTTAAAGGATTCCAAATATCCACAAGCAGATTCTACAAAGATAGTGTTTCAATTCTGCTCTATCAAAAGACAGGTTCATCTATGTTAGTTGAATGCACACATCTCAAAGAGGTTCCTGAGAATGCTTCTTCTAATTTTTATGTGAAGATATTTCCTTTTCCATCACAGGCCTCAAAGTGCTCCAAATGAGCAATTGCAAATACTACAAAAAGAGGGTTTCAAAACTGATTTATCAAAAGAAATGTTCAACTCTGTGAGTTGAAATCACACATCACAAAGCAGTTTCTGAGAATGTTTTTGTCTAGTTTTTATGTGAAGATATCCCGTTTACAACGAATTCCTCAAAGAGATGCAAATGTCCCCATACAGATACTACAAAAGTAGTGTTTGAAAACTGCTCTATCAAAAGAAAGGTTCGACACTGTGAGTTGAATGCACACATCACAAAGAAGTTTCTGAGAATGCTTCTGTCTAGTTTACATGTGAAGATATATCCTTTTCCACCATAGGCCACAAAGTACTCCAAATGAACACTCGCAGATGCTACAAAAGATTGTTTCACAACTGCTCTATCAAAAGAAAGGTTCAATTCTGTGAGTTGAATGCACACATCACAAAGAATTTTCTGAGAATGGTTCTGTCTAATTTTCATGTGAAGATATTACCTTTTAAACCATAGGCCTCAAAGCGCTCCAAATGAACACTTCCGGATTCCACAAAACGAGTGTTTCAAAACTGCTCTATCAAAAGAACTGTTCAAGTCTGTGAGTTGAATGCACACATCACAAAGCAGTTCCTGAGAATGGCTCTGTCTAGTGTTTATGTGAAGACATCCCATTTACAAGGAATTCCTAAAAGAGCTCCAAATATCCACAAGTAGATTCTACAAAAGGAGTGTTTCAAAACTGCTCTATCAAAAGAAAGGTTCAAATCTTTGAGTTGAAAGCACACATCACAAAGTACTTTCTGAGAATGCTTCTGATTCGTTTTTATGTGAAGATATTCCCGTTTCCAACGAAGGCCTCAAATATCTCCAAATATCCACTAGCAGATTCTGCAAATGGAGTGTTTCAAAACTGTTCTATCAAAAGAAAGGTTCAACTCTGTTAGCTGAATGCACACATTCCAAAGGAGCTTCTGAGCATGCTTCCGTCAAGTTTTTATGTGAACATATTTCCTTTTCCAACATAGGCCTCAAATCGATCCAAATATCCACTTGCAGATACTATAAAAAGACTATTTCAAAACTGCTCTCTCAAAAGGAAGGTTCAACTCTGTGAGTTAAATGCACACATCACAAAGCAGTTTCTGAGAATACTTCTGTCTACTTTGTATGTGAAGATACCCCGTTTACAATGCATTCCTCAAAAAGCTCCAAGTATCCACAAGCAGATTCTACAAAAGGAGTGTTTGAAACTGCTCTATCAAAAGAAGTTTCAACTCTGTGAGTTGAATGCACCCATCACAAATAACTTTCTGAGTATGCTTCTGTCTAGTTTTTATGTGAAGATATTCCCGTTTCAAAAGAAGGCCTATAATGTATGCAAATATCCAATAGCAGATTCTACAAAAGGAGTATTTCAAACCTGCTCTATGAAAAGAAATATTCAACTCTTTTATTTGAATGCAGATGTCTCAAAGATGTTTCCGAGAATGCTTCTGCGTAGTTTTTACGTGAAGATATTTCCTTTTCCTCCTTAGGCCTCATAGCGCTCCAAATGAACATTTGCAGATTCTATAAAAAGAGTGTATCAAAACTGCTCTATCAAAAGAAAGGTTCAACACTGTGAGTTGAAAGCACACATCAAAAAGAACTTTCTGAGAATGCTTCTGTCCGGTTTTTAAGTGCTGAGATCCCGTTCCCAGAGAATTCTTCAAGAGTTCCAAATATCCACAAGCAGATTCTACAAAAGGAGTGTTTCAAAACTGCTCTATCAAAAAAGAGATTCAACTCTGTTAGTTGAATGCACACATCTGAAAGAAGTTCCTGATAATGCTTCTGTCTAGTTTTTATGTGAAGATATTTCCTTTTCCACCATAGGCCTCAAATCGCTCCAAATATCCACTTCAAGATACAACAAAAATACTTTTTCAAAACTGCTCTCTCAAAAGGAAGGTTGAACTCTGTGAGTTGAATGCACACATCACAAAGGAGTTACAAATAACGCTTCTGTCTAGTTTTTATGTGAAGATATTTCCTTTTCCATCTTGGGCCTCAAAGAGATCCAAATGAACACTTTCAGATTCTACAAAAAGAGTGTTTAAAAACTGCTCTATGAAAAGAAAGGTCTAACTCTGTGAATTGAACACACACATCACAAAGGAGTTTCTGGTAATTCTTCTGTCTGGTTTTTATGTGAAGATATTTCCTTTTCCACCATAGGCCTCAAAGCGCTCCAAAAGAACACTTGCAGTTTCTACAAAAAGAGTGTTTCAAAACTGCTCTATCAAGAGAAAGTTTCGACTCTTTTAGCTGAATGCACACATTACAAAGACGTTCCTGAGAATGCTTCAGTCTAGTTCTTATGTGAAAATATTTCTTTTGCAACATAGGCCTCAAATTGCTCCAAATATCCACTTTCAGATTCTGCAAAAAGACTGTTTCAAAACTGCTCTCTCAAAAAAAAGGTTCAACTCTGTGAGTTGAATGCACACATCACAAAGGTCTTTCTGAGAATGCTCCTGTCTACTTTTTATGTGAAGATATTTTCTTTTCCACCTTAGGCCTCAAAGCCCTCCAAATGAAGACTTGCAGATTCTACAAAAACAGTGTTTCAAAACTGCCCTATCAAAAGAAAGGTTCAACTCTGTGAGTTGAATGCAAACATCACAAAGATCTTTCTGAGAATGCTTCTGTCTAATTTTTATGTGAAAATACCCGTTTCCAATGAATTCCTCAAAGGGTTCCAAATATCCACAAGCAGATGCTACAAAAGGAGTGTTTTAAAACTTCTCTACCAATAGACAGGTTCAGCTCTGTGAGTTGAATGCACACATCTCAAAGAAGTTCCTGAGAATGCTTCTTTCTAGTTTTTACGTGAAGATATTTACTTTTCCATCATAGGCCTCAAAGCGCTCCAAATGAACACTTGCAGATTCTACAAAAATCGTGTTTCAAAACTGCTCTATCAAAAGAAAGGTTCAACTCTCTTAGCTGAATTCACCCATCACAAAGAGGTTCCTGAGAATGCTTCTGTCTAGTTTTATGTGAAGATATTTCCTTTTCCAACATAGGCCTCAAATCGCTCCAAATATCAACTGGCAGATTATACAAAAAGACTTTCAAAACTGCTCTCTCAAAAGGAATGTTGATCTCTGTGAGTTGAATGCACCCATCACAAAATGGTTTCTGAGAATGCTTCTGTTTAGTTTTTTTTTTTTTGAAGATATTTCCTTTTCCATCTTGGGCCTCAAAGTGCTCAAATAAACACTAGCAACTACTACAAAAAGAGTGTTTCAAAACTGCTTTCTCGAAAGAAAGGTTCAACTCTGTGAGTTGAATGCACACATCACAAAGTAGTTTTTGAGAATGCTTCTGTCTAGTATTTATGGGAATATATCCCGTTTACAACGAATTCCTCATAGAGCTCCAAATATCCACAAGCAGATTCTAGAAATGTTGTGTTTCCCAACTGCCCTACCAAAAGAAAGGTTCAACTCTGTGAGTTGAATGAACATATCACGAAGAAGTTTCTGAGAATGCTTCTGTCTAGTTTTTACATGAAGATATTTCCTTTCCCACCATAGGCCTCAAAGTGTGCAAAAGGAACCTTGCAGATTCTACAAAAAGAGTGCTTCAAAACTGCTGGATCAAAATAAATTTTCGACTCTGTTAGCTGAATGCACACATCACAAAGAGTTCCTGAGAGTGGTTCTGTCTAGTTTTTATGTGAAGGTATTTCCTTTTCCAACATAGGCAACAAATTGCATCAAATATCCACTGACAGATTCTACAAAAAGACTATTACAAACCTGCTCCCACAAAAGGAAGTTTCAAATCTGGGAGCTGAATGCCCATATCACAAAGAAGTTTCTGAGAATGCCTCTGTCTAGTTTTTACGTGAAGATATTTCCTTTTCCACCATACGCCTCAAAGTGCTCCAAAGAACCCCTGCAGATTCTACAAAAAGAGTGTTTCAAAACTGCTCTATCAAAAGAAAGGTTCCACTCGGTTAGCTGAATGCACACATCACAAAGAAGTTCTTGAGAATGCTTCTGTCTACTTTTTATATGAAGGTATTTCCTTTTCCAACATGCGCCTCAAATGGCACCAAATATCCACTGGCAGATTCTACAAAAAGGCTGTTACAAAACTGCTCTCACAAAAGGAAGTTTCAACTCTGTGAGTTGAATTCACACATCACAAAATGTTTCTGAGGATGCTTCTGTCTAGTATTTATGTGAAGATATTTCCTTTTCCATCTTGGGCCTCAAAGCGCTCCAAGTAAACACTTGCAGATCCTACAATAAGAATGATTCAAAACTTCTCCCTCAAAAGAAATGTTCAACTCTGTGAGTTGAATGCACACATCACAAAGCAGTTTCTGAGAATGCTTCTGTCTAGTATTTATGGGAAGCTATCCCATATAAAACGAATTCCTCAAAGAGCTCCGAATATCCAATTGCAGATTCTAGAAATGGAGTGTTTCAAAACTGCTCTACCAAAAGAAAGTTTCAACACTGTGAGTTGAATGAACACATCACAACGAGGTTTCTGAGAATGCTTCTGTCTAGTTTTTATGTGAAGATATTTCCTTTTCCACCATGGGCCTCAAAGTGCTCCAAATGAACCCAGGCAGATACTACAAAGAGAGTGTTTCAAAACTGCTCTATCAAAATAAAGGTTCGACACTGTTAGCTGAATGCACACATCACAAAGAAGTTCCTGAGAATGCTTCTGTCTAGTTTTTATGTGAATGTATTTCCTTTTCCAACATAGGCCTCAAATCGCACAAAATATCCACTGGCAAATTCTACAAAAATACTGGAACAAAAGTGCTCTCAGAAAAGGAAGTTTCAACTCTGGGAGTTGAATACACACATCACAAAAAAGTTTCTTAGAATGCTTCTGTCTAGTTTTTATGTGAAGACATTTCTTTTTCCTACATAGGCCTCAAAGTGCTCAAAATGAACACTTGCAGATTCTACATAGAGAGTGTTTCAAAACTGCTCTATGAAAAGAAAGTTTCAAGTCTGTCGGTTGAATGCACACGTCACAAAGAACTTTCTGAGAATCCTTCTGTCTAGTTTTTATGTGAAGATATTTCCTTTTCCTACATAGGCCTCAAATCGCTCAAAATGAACACCTGCAGATTCTACATAGAGAGTGTTTCAAAACTACTCTATCAAAAGAAAGTTTCAACTATGGAGGTTGAATGCACACATCACAAAGAACTTTCTGAGAACGCTTCTGTCTAGCTTTTATGTGAAGATACCCGTTTCCAACGAATTCCTCAAATTGTTCCAAATATCCACAAGCAGATTCTACAAAAGAAGTGTTTCAAATGGCTCTATCGAAAGAAAGGTTCAACTCTGTGAGTTGAATGCACACATCACAAAGAACTATCTGAGAACACTTCTGTATAGTTTTTTGTGAAGATAGCCCATTTCCAATGAACTAATTAAAGAGTTCCAAATATCCACAAGCAGATTCTACAAAAGGAGTGTTTCAAATCTGCACTATCAAAAGAAAAGTTCAACTCTGCGAATTGAACACACACATCACAAAGGTGTTTCTGAGAATGCTTCTGTCCAGTTTTTATGTGAAGATACTTCGTTTTCCACCATAGGCCTCAAAGCGCTCCAAATGAACATAAGCAGATTCTACAAAAAAGTGTTTCAAAACTGCTCTATCCAAAGAAAGGTTCAACTCTGTGAATTGAATGCACACATACCAAGGAAATTTCTGAGAATGCCTCTGTCTAGTTTTTATGTGAAGATCGCTGTTTCCACCGAATTCCACATAAAGTTACAAATATCCACAAGCAGATTCTACAAAAGGAGTGTTTCAATACTGCTCTATCAAAAGACAGGTTCACCTCTGTTAGCTGAATCTACACATCTCAAAGAAGTTCCTGATAATGCTTCTGTCTGGTTTTTATGTGAAGATATTTCCTTTTCCATCATAAGCCTCAAAGTGCTCAAAATAAATACTTGCAGATTCTACAAAAAGAGTTTTTCAAAACTGCTCTATCAAAATATAGGTTCAACACTGTGAGTTGAATGCACACATCACAAAGTACTTTCTGAGAATGCTTCTGTCTGGTTTTCGTGTGAAGATATTTCCTTTTCCATCTTGGGCCTCATACCGCTCAAAATGAACACTTGCAGATTCTACAAAAAAAGTGTTTCAATGCTGCTCTATCTAAAGAAATATTCAACTCTGTGAGTTCAATGCACAAAACACAAAGCAGTTTCTGAGAATGCTTCTGTCTAGTTTTTATGGGAAGATATCCCTTTTACAACGATTTCCTCAAAGAGCTAAAAATATCCACAAGAAGATTCTACAAAAACAGTGTTTCAAAACTGTTCTATCAAAAGAAAAGTCAACACTGTGAGTTGAATGCACATATCAAAAAGAAGTTTCTGAGAATGTTTCTGTCTAGTTTCTATGTGAAGATATTCCCTTCTCCACCATAGGCCTCAAAATTCACAAAATGAACACTTGCAGATTCTACAAAAAGAGTGTTTCAATACTGCTCTGTCAAAAGACAGGTTCAACTCTGTGAGTTGAATGCACACATCTCAAAGAAGTTCTGATAATGCTTCTGTCTTGTTTTTATGTGAAGATATTTCCTTTTCCATCATAGGCCTCAAAGCGCTCCAACGAACACTTGCAGATTCTACAAATAGAGTGCTTCAAAACTGCTCTATCAAAAGAAAGGTTCAAATCTGTGAGCTGAAAATACACATCACAAAGCAGTTTCTGAGAATGCTTCTGTCTAGTTTTTATGTGAAGATATCCTGTTTACAACGAATTCCTCAAAAGCACCAAATATCCAGAAGCAGATTCTACAAAAGGGGTGTTTGAAAACTGCTGTATCAAAAGAAAGTTCAACTCTGTGAGTTGAATGCATACATCACAAAGAAGTTTCTGAGAATTCTCCTGTCTACTTTTTATGTGAATATATTTCCTTTTCCACCATAGACCTCAAAGCGCTACAAATGAACACTTGAAGATTCTACAAAAAGAGTGTTCAAAACTGCTCTATCAAAAAATTTCAAATCTGTTAGCTGAATGCAAACATCACAAAGAAGTTCATTAGAATGCTTCTGTCTAGTTTTTATGTGAAGATATTTCCTTTTGCAACATAGACCTCAAATCGCTCCAAATATCAACTGGCAGATTCTTCAAAAAGGCTGCTACAACACTGCTCTCACAAAAGAAGTTTCAACTCTGTGAGTTGAATGCACACATTACAAAAAAGTTTCGGAGAATGCTTCTGTCTTGTTTTTATGTGAAGCTATTTTCTTTTCCAACATAGGACTCAAAACGCTCAAAATGAACACTTGCAGATTCTACAAAAAATGTGTTTCAGAACCGCTCTATCAAAAGAAAGGTTGAACTCTATGAGCGGAAGGTGCACATCACAAAGAAGTTTCTGAGAATGCTTCTGTCTTGTTTTTATGTGAAGCTATTTTCTTTTCCACCATAGACCTCAAAGCGCTCAAAATGAACACTTGCAGATTCTACAAAAAGTGTGTTTCAGAACCGCTCTATCAAAAGAAAGGTTGAACTCTGTGAGCGGAAAGTGCACATCACAAAGAAGTTTTTGAGAACGCTTCTGTCTAGTATTTATGTGAAGATATTTCCTTTTCCACCATAGGCCTCAAAGCGCTCCAAGTGAACACTTGCAGATTCTACAAAAAGAGTGTTTCAAAACTTCTCTATCAAAAGAAAGGTTCAATACTGTTAGTTGAATGCACACATCACAAAGAAGTTTCTCAGAATGCTTCTGTCCAGTTTTTATTTGAAGATACACCGTTTACAACGAATTCCTCAAAGAGCTCCAAATATCCACAAGCAGAGTCAACAAAAGTAGTGTTTGAAAACTGCTGTATCAAAAGAAGGGTTCAACTCTGTGAGTTGAATGCACACATCACAAAGAAGTTTCTGAGAATGCTTCTGTATAGTTTTCATGTGACGATATTTCCTTTTCCACCATAGGCCTCAAAGAGCTCTAAATGAACACTTGCAGATTCTACAAAACACTGATTCAAAACAGCTCTATCAAAACAAAGGTTCAATATTATGAGTTCAATGCACACATCACAAAGATGTTTCTGAGAATGTTACTGTTTAGTTTTTATGTGAAGATATTCCCGTTTCCAAAGAAGACCTAAAATATCTCCAAATATCCACTAGCAGATTGTGCAAAAGGAGTGTTTCAAAACTGCTCTATCAAAAGAAATGTTCCAATCAGTTAGTTGAATGCACACATCTCAAAGAAGTTTCTGAGAATGCTTCTGTCTGGTTTTTATGTGAAGATAGTTCCTTTTCCACCTTAGGCCTCAAAGCACTCCAAATGAACACTTGCAGTTTCTACCAAAAGAGTGTTTCAAAACTGCTCTGTCCAAAGAAATGTTCAACTCTCTGAGTTGAATGCACACATCACAAAGAAGTTTCTGAGAATGCTTCTGTCTAGTTTTTATGTGAAGATATTTCCTTTTCCACCATAAGACTCAAAGCACTCCAAATGAACACTTGCAGATTCTACAAAAAGAGTGTTTCAAAACTGCTATATCAAAAGAAAGGTTCAACTCTGTAAGTTGAATGCACACATCACAAAGAAATTTCTGAGACTGCTTCTGTCTAGTTTTTATGTGAAGATATTTCCTTCTCCACTATAGGCCTCAAAGCACTCAAATGAACACTTGCAGATTCCACAAAAGGAGTGTCTCAATACTGCTCTGTTGAAAGGAAGCTTCAAATCTGTGAGTTGAATGCACACATCACAAAGAAGTTTCTGAGAATGCTTCTGTCTAGTTTTTATGTGAAGTTATTTCCTTTTCCATCATAGGCCTCAAAGTGCTCCAAATGAACACATGTAGATTCTACAGAAGAATGTTTCAAAACTGCTCTATCAAAAGAAATGTTCAACTCTGAGAGTTGAATACACACATCACAAAGAAGTTTCTGAGAATTCTTCTATCTAGTTTTTATGTGAAGATATTTTCTTTTCCACCATAGGCCTCAAAGCACTCAAAATGAACAGTTGCAGATTACACAAAAAGAGTGTTTCAGAACTGCTCTATCAAAAGAAAGGTTGAACTATGTGAGTGGAATGTGCACATCACTAGGAAATTTTTGAGAATGCTTCTGTCTAGTATTGATGTGCAGATATTTCCTTTTCCACCATAGGACTCAAAGTGCTCCAAATGAACAATTGCAGATTATACAAAAAGAGTGTTTCAAAACTCATCTATCAAAAGAAAGATTCAACTCTGTGAGTTGAATGCACAGATCACAAATAAGTTTCTGGGAATGCTTCTGTCTAGTTTTTAATTGAAGATACTCCGTTTACAAAGAATTCCTCAAAGAGCTCCAAATATCCACAAGCAGTGTCAACAAAAGTAGTGTTTGAAAACTGCTCTATCAAAAGTAGGGTTCAACTCTGTGAGTTGAATTCAGGCATCACAAAGAAGTTTCTGAGAATGCTTCTGTCTAGTTTTCATGTGAAGATATTTCCTTTTCCACCATAGGCCTCAAAGCGCTCCAAATGAACACTTGTAAATTCTACAAAAACACTGATTCAAAACTGCTCTATCAAAAGAAAGGTTCAAAATTGTGAGTTCAATGCACACATCACAAAGAAGTTTCTGAGAATGCTTCTGTCTAGTTTTTATGTGAAGTTATTCCCGTTTCAAAAGAAGGCTTAAAATATCTCCAAATATCCACTAGTAGATTCTGCAAAAGGAGAGTTTCAAAACTGCTCTATCAAAAGAAATGTTCAACTCAGTGAGTTGAATGTACACATCTCAAAGAAGTTTCTTAGAATGCTTCTGTCTAGTTTTTATGTGAAGATATTTCCTTCTCCACCACAGGCCTCAAATCATTCCAAATGAACACTTGCAGGTTCCACAAAAAGAGTGTTTCAATACTGCTCTGCCAAAAGAAAGCTTCAACGCTGTGAGTTGAATTCACACATCTCAGAGAAGTTTCTGAGAATACTTCTGTCTAGTATTTATGTGAAGGTATTTCCTTTTCCACCATAGGCCTCAAAGTGCTCAAAATGAACTCTTGCAGATTCTACAAAGTGTGTTACAAATCTGGTCTATCAAAAGAAATGTTCAACTCTGTGAGTTGAATGCACACATCACAAAGAACTTTCTGAGAATGCTTCTCTCTAGTATTTATGTGAAGATACCCGTTTCCAATGAATTCCTCAAAGAGTTCCAAATATCCACAAGCAGATTCTACAAAAGGAGTGTTTCAAAACTGCTCTATCTAAAGACAGGTTCAACTCTGTTAGTTGAATTCACACATCTCAAAGATGTTCCTGAGCATGATTCTGACTATTTTTTATGTGAAGTTATTTCCTTTTGCACAATAGGCCTCAAATCACTCCACATATCCAGAGGAAGATTCTACAAAAAGACTGTTTCAAAACTGCTATCTCAAAAGGAATGTTCAACTCAGTGAGTTGAATGCAAACATGACAAAGAAGTTTCTGAGAATGCTTCTGTCTTGTAATTATGTGAAGATATTTCCTTTTCCACCATAGGCCTCCAAGAGCTCAAAATGAACGCTTGTAGATTCTACAAGAAGACTGTTTCAAAACTGCTATATCAAAAGAAAGATTCAACTCTTTGAGTTGAATGCACACATCACAAAGAAGTTTCTGAGAACGCTTCTGTCTTGTTTTTATGTGAAGATATTTCCTTTTCCACCATAGGCCTCAAATCGCTTCAAATATCCACTTAAAAATACTACAGAAAGACTGTTTCCAACCTGCTCTCTCAAAAGAAAGGTTCAACTCTGTGAGTTGAATGCACACGTCTCAAAAAAATTTCTGAGAATGCTTCTGTCTAGGTTTTATGTGAAGATACTTCCTTTTCCAACATACGACTCAAATCGCTCCAAAAATCCAGTGGCGGAATCTACAAAAAGACTTTTACAAAACTGCTCTCACAAAAGGAAGTTTCAACTCTGTGAGTTGAATGAACACATCACAAAGAAGTTTCGGAGAATGCTTTTGTCTAGTTTTCATGTGAAGATATTTCCTTTTGCACCATAGTCCTCAAAGCACTCAAAATGAACACTTTCAAATTCTACACACGTGTGATTCAAAACTGCTCCATGAAAAGAAAGGTTCAACTTTGTGGGTTGAACGCAAATATCACAAAGAAGCTTCTGAGAATGCTTCTGTCTAGTTTTTATGGGAAGATATCCCGTTTACAAAGAATTCCTCAAAGAACTTCAAATATCCAAAGGCAGATTCTAAAAAGGAGTGTTTCAAAACTGCTCTGCCAAAAGTTCAAGTCGGTGAGTGAATGCACACTTCATAAAGAAGTTTCTGAGATTGCTTCCGTCTAGTTTTTATGTGGAGATATTTCCTTTTCCAACACAGGCTTCAAAGTGGTAGAAATGAACAATTGCAGATTCTACAAAAAGACTGTTTCAAAACTGCTCTATCAAAAGAAGTGTTCAACTCTGTGAGTTGAATGCACACATCACAAAGCAGTTTCTGAGAATGCTTCTGTCTAGTTTTTATGTGAAGATATCCTGTTTAGAATGAATTCCTCAAAGAGCTCCAAATATGCCCAAGGAGATTCTACAAAAGGAGAGTTTCAAAACTGCACTATCAAAAGAAAAGTTCAACGCTGTGAGTTGAATACACACATCACAATGGAGTTTCTGAGAATGCTTCTGTCTATTTTTTATGTGAAGATACTTCCTTTTCCACCATAGGCCCCAAAGTGTTCAAAATGCACACTTGCAGATTATACAGAAAAAATATTTCAAAACGGCCCTATCAAAAGTAAGTTTCAACTCTGTGAGTTGAATGCAGACATCACCAAGAACTTTCTGAGTATACTTCTGTCTAGTTTTTTTGTGATGATAGCTCGTTTCCAATGAATTTTCTCAAAGAGTTCCAAATATCCACAAGCAGATTCTCCAATATGAGTGTTTCAAAACTGCTGTATCAAAAGAAAAGTTCAACTCTGTTAATTGAACACACACACACCACAAAGAGTTTCTGAGAATGCTTCTGTCTAGTTTTTTTGTGAAGATATTTCAATTCCACCATAGGCCTTACAGGTCTCCAAATGAACACTTGCAGATTCTACAAAAAGAGTGTTTCAAAACCGCTCTATCAAAAGAAAGGTTCAACTCCGTCAGTTGAATGCACACATCTCAAAGAGTTTTCTGAGAATGCTTCTATGTAAGTTATATGTGAAGATATTTCCTTTTCCAAAAAAGGACTCAACTCAGTCCAAATATCCACTGGCAGATTCTACAAAAAGACTTACAAAAAGCTCTCACAAAACGAAGTTTCAACTCTGTGAGTTGAGCGCACACATAACAAAGAACTTTCTGAGAATGCTTCTGTCTAGTTTTTATGTGAAGATACCTGTTTCCAAAGAATTCTTCAAAGTCTTCCAAAAATACACAGGCAGATTCTACAAAAGTAGTGTTTCAATACTGCTCTATCAAAAGACAGGTTCAACTCTGTTAGTTGAATGAACACATCTAAAAGATGTTCCTGAGATGTTTCTGTCTAGTTTTTATGTGAAGGTATTTCCTTTTCCACAATTGGATTCATATAGCTCCAAATATTCAACTGCAGTTTCTACAAAAAGACTGTTTCAAAACTACTCTCTCAAATGGAAGGTTCAACTCTGTGAGTTGAATGCGCACTTCACAAAGCAGTTTCTGAGAATGCTTCTTTCTAATTTTTATGTGAAGATATTTCATTTTCCACCACAGGCCTCAAATCTTCCCAAATATCCGCTTAAAGATACAACAAAAAGACTGATTCAAAACTGCTCTCTCAAAAGGAAGGTTCAACTCTGTGAGTTGAATGCACACATCACAAAGCAGTTTCTGAGAATACTTCTGTCTAGTTTTTAAGTTAAGATATCCCTTTTACAATGAATTTGTCAAAGAGCTCCAAGCATGCACAAGCAGATTCTACAAAAGGACTTTTTCAAAACTGCTCTATCAAAAGAAGGGTTCAACTCTGTGAGTTGAATGCACACATCACAAAAAAGTTTATGAGAATTCTTCTGTCTACTTTTTATGTGAAGATATTTCCTATTCCACCATAGGCCTCAAAGCACTCCATTGAACACTTGCAGATTCTACAAAAAGAGTTTTTCAAAACAGCTCTATCAAAAGAAAGTTCAGCTCTGTGAGTTGAATGCACACGTCACAAAGTAGTTTCTGAGAATGCTTCTGTCTAGTTTGTATTTGAAGATATGCCGTTTACAAAGAATTCCTCAAAGAGCTCCAAATATCCACAGGGAGATTCTACAAAAGGAGTGTCTCAACACTGCTATATGAAAAGACAGATTCAACTCTGGTACTTGAATGCACACATCTCAAAGAAGTTCCTGAGAATGCTTCTGTCTAGTTTTTATGTGAAAATATTTCTTTTTCCACCATAGAACGCAAATCGCTCCAAATATCCACTGGCAGGTTCTACAGAAAGACTGTTTCAAAACTGCTCTCTCAAAAGAAAGGTTCAACTATATGAGCTGAATGCACACATCACAAAGAAGATTCTTAGAATGCTTCTATCTAGTTTTTATGTGAAGATGTTTCCTTTTCCACCATAGGCCTCAATGCGCTGAAAGTGAACACTTGCAGATATTATAAAAGGAGTGTTTCAAAACTGCTCTATCAAAATAAAGGTTCAAGTCTGTCGGTTGAATGCACACATCACAAAGAACTTTCTGAGAATGCTTCTGTCTAATTTTTATGTGAAGATATTTCCTTTTCCACCATAGGCTTCAAATCGCTCTAAATGAACCCTTACAGACACTAGAAAAAGACTCTTTCAAAACTGCTCTATCAAAAGAAGCGTTCAAGTCTGTGAGTTGAATGCACACATCACAAAGCAGTTTCTGAGAATGCTTCAGTCTAGTTTTCATTTGTAGATATCCCGTTTACAATGAATTCCTCAAAGAGCTCCAAATATCCACAAGCAGATTCTACCAAAGGAGAGTTTCAAAACTGATCTTTCAAAAGAAAGGTTCAACTCTGTGAGTTGAATGCTCAGATCACAAAGAACTTTCTGAGAATACTTCTGTCTAGTATTTATGTGAAGATACCCGTTCCCAACGAATTCCTCAAAGAGTTCCAAATATCCCTAAGCAGTTTGTACAAAAGGAGTGTTTCAATAGTGCTCTATCAAAAGACAGGTTCAACTCTATTGTTGAATGCACACATCTCAAAGAAGTTCCTCAGAATGCTTCTGTCTATTTTTTATGTGAAGGTATTTCCTTTTCCACCATAGGCCTCAAAGCGCTCAAAGTGAACACTTGCAGATTACACATAAAGAATGTTTCAAAGCTTCTCTCTCAAAACAAATGTTCAATACTGTGAGTTGAATGCACACAACACGAAAAAGCTTTCTGAGTATAATTCGGTCTAGTTTTTTTGTGAAGATAGCCCGTTTCCAACGAAATCCTCAAAGAGCTCTAAATATCCACAAGCAGATTCTACAAAAGCAGTGTGTCAAAACTGCTCTATCAAAAGAAGGGTTCAACTCTGTGAATTGAACGCACACATCACAAAGGAGTTCCTGAGAATTCTTCTGTCTAGTTTTTATGTGAAGATATTTCCTTTTCCACCATAGGCCTCAAAGCTCTCAAAATGAACACGTGCAGATTCTACAAAAAGAGTGTTTCAAAACTGCTCTCTCAAAAGAAATGTTGAACTATGTTAGCTGGATGCACACATCACAATGAAGTTCCTGAGAATGATTCTGCTTAGTTTTTATGTGAAGATATTTCCTTTTCCAACACAGACCTCAAATTGCTCCAAATATCCACTGGCAGATTCTACAAAAAGACTGTTACAAAACGACCCACACAAAAGGAAGTTTCAACTCCGGGAGTTGAAAGCACACATTACAGAGAAGTTTCTGGGAATGGTTCTGTCTGGTTTTGATGTGAAGATAATTCCTTTTCCACCATAGGCCTCAAAGCACTCCAAATGAACATTGCAGATTCTACAAAAAGAGTGTTACAAAACTGCTCCCTCAAAAGAAAGGTTCAACTCTGTGAGTTGAATGCACACATAACAAAACAGTTTCTGAGAATGCTTCCGTCTAGTTTTTATGGGAAGATGACCCGTTTACAATGAATTCCTCAAAGAGCTCCAAATATCCACAAGCAGATTCTACAAAAGTATTGTTACAAAACTGCTCTATCAAAAGAAAAGTTCAACTCTGAGTTGAATGCACCCACCACAAAGAATTATGTGAGATTGCTGCTGTCTAGTTTTTATGTGAAGTTATTTCCTTTTCCAACATAGACCTCAAAGCTCTCAATGTAAACACTTGCAGATCCTATAAAAGGAGTGTTTCAAAACTGCTCTATCAAAAGAAATTTTCAAGTTTTTGAGTTGAATGCACACATCACAAAGAAATTTCTGAGAATGCTTCTGTCTATTTTGCATGTGAAGATATTTTTTTTCCATCTTGTTCCTCAAAGCGCTCAAAATGAACACGTGCAGGTTCTACAAAAGAAGAGTTTCACAACTATTCTATCAAAAGAAAAGATCAACTCTGTGAGTTGAATGCACACATCACAAAGAAGTTTCTGAGAATGCTTCTGTCTAGTTTTTATGTGAAGATATTTCATTTTCCACCATAAGCCTCACAGCGCTCAAAATGAACACTTGCAGATTACACAGAAAGAATGTTTCAAAACTGCTCTATCAAAAGAAAGGTTCAACTCTGTGAGTTGAATGCAGACATCACAAAGCAGTTTCTGAGAATGTTTCTGTCTAGTTTTTATGTGAAGATATTTGCTTTTCCAACATAGACCTCAAAGCACTCAAAATGAACACTTGCAGATTATACAGAAAGAATGTTTCAAAACAGCTCTATCAAAAGAAAGGTTCAACTCTGTGAGTTGAATGCACACATCACAAAGAACTTTCTGAGAATACTTCTGTCTAGTTTTTTTGTGAAGACAGACCGTTTCCAACAAATTCCTCAAAAAGTTCCAAATATCCCCAAGTAGATTCTACAAAAGGAGTGTTTCAAAACTGCTCTATCAAAAGAAAGATTCAACTCTGTGAGTTGAATGCACACATCACAAAGGAGTTTCTGAGAATGCTTCTGTCTAGTTTTTATGTGAAGATATTTCCTTTTCCACCATAGTCCTCAAATCGCTCCAAATATCCACTTGCAGATTCTACAAAAAGACTGTTTCGCAACTGCTCTCTCAAAAGAAAGGTTCACCTATGTGAGTTGAATGCACACATCACAAAGAACTGTCTAACAATGTTTCTGTCTTGTTTTTATGTGAAGATATTTGCTTTTCCACCAGAGGCTGCAAAGCGCTCCAAATGAAAACTTGCAGATCCTATACAAAGAGTGTTTCAAAACTGCTCTATCAAAAGAAAGGTTCACCTCTCTTCATTGAATGCACACATCATAAAGAAGTTCCTGAGAATGCTTCTGTCTAGTTTTTATGTGAAGATATTTCCTTTTCCATCATAGGCCTCAAATCGCTCCAAATGAACACTTGCAGATTATACAGAAAGAATGTGTCAAAAGTGCTCCATCAAAAGAAACCTTCAACTCTGTTAGCTGAATGCACACATCACAAAGAAGCTGCTGAGAATACTTCAGTCTAGTTTTTATGTGAAGACATTTCCTTTTCCATCATAGGCCTCAAAGTGCTCCAAATATCCTCTGGCAGATTCTACAAAAAGACTGATTCAAAACTGCTATCTCAAAAGGAAAGTTCAACTATGTGAGTTGAATGCACACATCTCAAAGAAGTTTATGGGAATGCTTCTGTCTAGTTTTTATGTGAAGATATTTTCTTTCCACCATAGGCTTCAAAGCGCTCTAAAAGAACACTTGCAGATTCTACAAAAAGATTGTTTCAAAACTGTTCTATCAAAAGAAAGTTTCAACTCTATGAGTTGAATGCACCCATCAAAAATAACTTTCTGAGAATGCTTCCGTCTAGTTTTTATGTGAAGATATCCTGTTTCCAACGAATTCCTCAAAGAGTTCCAAATATCAACAAGCAGATTCCACAAAAGGAGTGTTTCAAAACTGTTCTATTAAAGACAGGTTCAACTCTGTTAGTTGAATGCACACATCTGAAAGAAGTTCCTGAGAATGCTTCTGTCTAGTTTTTATGTGAAGATATTTCCTTTTCCACCATAAGCCTCAAATCGCTCCAAATATCCAACTGCAGATACTACAAAAAGACTGTTTCAAAACTGCTCTCTCAAAAGGAAGGTTCAACGCTGTAGGTTGAATTCATACATCACAAAGAAGTTTCTGATAATGCTTCTGTGTAGTTTTAATGCGAAGATATTTCCTTTTCCATCATAAGCCTCAAAGCACTCCAAATGAATACTTGCAGATTCTACAAAAAGAGTGTTTCAAAAGTGCTCTATTGAAGGAAAGGTTGAACATCGTGAGTTGAATACACACATCACAAACAGTTTCTGAGAATTCTCCTGTCTAGTTTTTATGTGAAGATATCCCGTTTAAAACGAATTCTTCAAAGAGCTCCAAATATCCACAAGCATATTCTACAAAAGGAGTGTTTCAAAACTGCTCTATCAAAAGATAGGTTCAATTCTGTGAGTTGAATGCACACATCACAAAGAAGTTTCTGAGAATTCTTGTCTAATTTTTATATGAGGATATTTCCTTTTCCACCATAGGTCTCCAAGAGCTCCAAACGAACACTTGCAGATTCTACAAAAAGAATGTTTCAAAACTGCTCTATCAAAAGAAACTTTCTACTCATTGAGTTGAATGCACACATCACAAAGGAATTTCTGAGACTGCTTCTGTCTAGTTTTTATGTGAAGATATTCCCATTTCCAACGAAGGCCTCAACTATCTCCAAATATCCACTAGCAGATTCTACAAAAGGAGTGTTTCAGAACTGTTCTATCAAAAAAAAAGTTCAACTCTGTTACTTGAATGCACACATCTCAAAGTTGTTTCTCGGAATGCTTCTGTCCAGTTTTTATGTGAAGACATTTCCTTTTCGTCCATAGGAATCAAAGTGCTCCCAATGAACACTTGCAGATGCTACAAAAAGAGTGTTTCAAAACTGCTCTATCAAAAGACAGGTTCAACTCTGTGAGTTGAAAACAGCATAAAGATGTTTCTGAGAAGGATTCTGTCTAGTTTTTATACAAAGATATTTCGTTTTCTACCGTAGGCTTCCAAGCACTCTACATATGCACTTGGAAATTCCACAAAAGGAATGTTTCAAAACTGCTCTATCCAAAGGAAGTTTCAAATCTGTGAGTTGAATACACACATCACAAAGAAGTTTCTCAAAATTCTTCTCCCTACTTGTATATGTAGAAACCCGGTTCCAACGAATGCCTTAAAGAGGTCCAAACATCCACGTACAGACTTCATATACAGAGTGTTTCAAAACTGCTCTATCAAAAGAAAGGTTCAACTGTGTGAGTTCAACGTGCCCATCACAAAGTAGTTTCTGAGAGTGCTTCTGTCTAGTTGTTATATGAAGATATTTCCTTTTCTACAAGAGGCCACAGAGCCCTTTAAATATCCACTTGCAAATTTCACAAAAAGACTGTTTCAAACCTGCTCTCTCAAAACAAAGGTTAAACTCTGTGAGATGAACGCACACATCACAAAGTGGTTTCTGAGAATGATTCTGTCTAGTTCTTATATGAAGATATTTCGTTTTCTACCATTGGCTTCAAAGCACTCCAATTATGCACATGGAAATTCTACAAAAAGAGTGTTTCAAAACTGCTCTATCAAAAGGAGGGTTTAACTCTGTGAGTTGAATACACACATCCCAAAGAAGTTTCTCAGAATTTTTCTGTCTAGTTTTATACGAAAAATCCCCTTTCAATGAATGCCTCAAAGAGGTCCAAATATCCACTTGCAGACATTACAAACAGAGTGTTTCAAATCTTCTCTATCAAAAGAAATGTTAAACTCTGTGACTTGAACGCACACATCACAAGGTAGTTTCTGAGAATGAATCTGTCTAGTTTTTATGTGAAGATATTTCCTTTTCTACCTCAGGCCTATAAGCGCTTCCAATATCCACTGGGAAATTCTAAAAAAAGAGGGTTTCCAAACTACTATATTGAAAGGAATATTAAACTCTGTGAGTTGAAGACACACATCACAAAGAAGATTCTGAGAATTCTTCTGTCTAGTTTTCTATGAAGAAATCCCGTTTCCAACGAAGGCCTCAAGGAGGTCCAAATATCCACTTGAAAATTCTACAAAAATATTCTTTCCAAACTGCTCTATCAAAAGGATCATTGAACTCTGTGAGTTGAATGTAAACATCACAATGTAGTTGCTTAGAATCTTACTGTCTACTTTTTATGTTAATGTATTTCCTTTTCAGCAATAGGCCCCAAAGCCCTGTAAATACCCGCTTGCAAATTCTACAAAAAGGGTGTTACAAAACTGCTCTATCAAAAGAAACGTTAAATTCTGTGAGTCAAGCACACATCACAAAGTTGTTTCTGAGAAGGATTCTGTCTAGTTTTTATATGAAGATATTTCGTTTTCTACCATAGGCTTCGAAGCACTCTAAATATGCACTTGGAAATTCTACAAAAAGATTGTTTTGAAACTGCTCTCTCGAAAGGAAGGTTCAACTCTGTGAGTTGAATACATACATCACAAAGAAGTTTCTCAAAATTCTTCGCTCTAGTTGTATTTGTAGAAACCCATTTCCAACGAATGCATCAAAGAGGTCCAAATATCCACCTGCAGAATTTACAAACAGAGTGTTTCAAAACTGCTCTATCAAAAGAAAGGTTCAACTGTGTGAGTTGCATGCGCCCATCACAATGTAGTTTCTGAGAGTGATTCTGACTAGTTGATATATCAAGATATTTCCTTTTCTACTATAGGCCATAAGCCCTTTAAATATCCAGTTGCAAATTTCACAAAAAGACTGTTTCAAACCTGCTCTCCCAAAAGAAAGGTTAAACTCTGTGAGTTGAACGCACACATCACAAAGTGGTATCTGAGAATGATTCTGTCTAGTTGTTATATGAAGATATTTGTTTTTCTACCGTTGGCTTCAAAGCACTCCAAATATGCACTTAGAAATTCAAAAAAAAGAGTGTTTCAAAACTGCTCTATCAAAAGGAGGGTTTAACCCTTTGAGTTGAATGCACACATCCCAAAGAAGTTTCTCAGAATTCTTCTGTCCAGTTTTATATGAGAAATACCCTTTCAAACGAATGCCACAAAGATGTCCAAATATCCACTTGCAGACTTTACAAACAGAATGTTTCAAATCTGCTCTATCAAAAGAAACGTTAAACTCTGTGAGTTGAATGCACACATCACAAAGTGGTTTCTGAGAATGAGTCTGTCTAGTTCTTATATGAAGATATTTGGTTTTCTACCGTCGGCTTCAAAGCATTCTAAATATGCACTTAGAAATACTACAAAAAGAGTGTTTCAAAACTGCTCTATCTAAAGGAGGGTTTAACTCTGTGAGTTGAATGCACACACCAGAAAGAAGGTCCTCAGAATTCTTCTGTCTAGTTTTATATGAAAAATACCCTTTCCAACGTATGCCTCAAGGAGGTCCAAATATTCACTTGCAGACTTTAAAAACATAGTGTTTCAAAACTGCTCTATCAAAAGAAAGGTTAAACTCTTTGAGTTGAATGCACACATCACAAAGTGGTTTCTGAGAATGAGTCTGTCTAGTTCTTACATGAAGATATTTGGTTTTCTACCGTTGACTTCAAAGCACTCTAAATATGCATTTGGAAAGCCTACAAAAAGAGTGTTTCAAAACTGCTCTATAAAAAGGAGTGTTTAACTCTGTGAGTTGAACGCACACATCACAAAGTAGTTTCTGAGAATGAATCTGTCTAGTTTTTACGTGAAGATATTTCCTTTTCTACCACAGGCCTCAAAGCGCTTCCAATATCCACTTGGAAATTCTAAAAAAAGACGGTTTCAAAACTACTCTATTGAAGGGAATATTCAACTCTGTAAGTTGAAGACACACATCACAAAGAAGCTTCTGAGAATTCTTCTGTCTAGTTTTCTATTAAGAAATCCCGTTTCCAACGAAGGCCTCAAGTAGGGCCAAATATCCACTTGAAGATTCTACAAAAATATTCTTTCCAAACTGCTCTATCAAAAGGAATGTTGAACTCTGTAAGTTGAATGCAAACATCACAATGTAGTTTCTGAAAATGCTACAGTCTAGTTTTTATGTGAAGGTATTTCCTTTTCTACAATAGGCCCCAAAGCCCTCTAAATACCCGCTTGCAAATTCTACAAAAAGGGTGTTACAAGAGCGCTCTATCTAAGGAAACGTTAAACTCTGTGAGTTGAACTCACACATCACGAAGATTTTTCTGAGAAGGATTCTGTCTAGTTGGGATATGAAGATATTGCGTTTTCTACCTTAGGCTTCCAAGAACTCTAAATATGCACTTGGAAATTCTACAAAAAGAGTGTTTCAAAACTGCTCCATTGAAAGGAAGCTTCAACTCTGTGAGCTTAATACACACATCACAAAGAAGTTTCTCAAAATTCTTCTCTGTAGTTGTATATGTAGAAATCCCGTTTCCAATGAATGCCTCAAAGACGTTCAAATATCCACCTGCAGACTTTACAAACAGAGTGCTTCAAAACTACTCTATCAAAAGAGAGGTTCAACTGTGTGACTTGAACGCACCCATCACAATATAGTTTCTGAGAGTGCTTCTTTCTAGTTGTTATATGAAGATATTTCCTTTTTTACCAAAGGCACCAAAGCCTTTTAAATATCCACTTGCAAATTTCACAAAAAGACTGTTTCAAACCTGCTCTCTCAAAGGAAAGGTTAAACTCTGTGAGTTGAATACACACATCACAAAGTGGTTTCTGAGAATGAGTCCGTGTAGTTCTTATGTGAAGATATTTGGTTTTCTACCATCGGCTTCAAAGCACTCCAAACATGCACTTGGAAATTCTCAAAAAGAGTGTTTCAAAACTGCTCTATCAAAAGGAGGGTTTAACTCTGTGAGTTGAATGCACACATCCCAAAGAAGTTTCTCACAATTCTTCTACCTAATTTTATATGAAAAATCCCGTTTCCAACGAATGCCTCAAAGAGGAGTAAATATCCCCATGCAGACTTTACAAACAGAGTGTTTCAAATCTGCTCTATCAAAAGAAAGTTTAAACTCGGTGAGTTGAACACACACATCACAAAGTAGTTTCTGAGAATGAATCTGTGTAGTTTTATGTGAAGATATATCCTTTTCTACGAGAGTCCTCAAAGCACTTCCAATATCCACTTGGAAATTCTCAGAAAAGAGGGTTTCAAAACTACTCTACAGAAAGGAATATTCAATTCTGTGAGTTAAAGACACACATCACAAAGAAGCTTCTGAGAATTCTTCTATCTAGTTTTCTATGAAGAAATCCCGTTTCCAACGAAAGCCTCAAGGAGGTACAAATATCCACTTGAAGATTCTACAAAAATATTGTTTCCAAACTGCTCTATCAAAAGGAATGTTGACCTCTTAGTTGAATGCAAACATCACAATGTAGTTTCTGAGCATGCTACTGTCTAGTTTTTATGTCAAGCTATTTCCTTTTCTACAATAGGCCCCAAAGCCCTCTAAATACCCACTCACAAATTCTACAAAAAGGGTGTGACAAAACTGCTCTACCAAAAGAAACGTTAAACTCTGTGAGTTCAATGCACACATCACAAAATTGTTTCTGAGAAGGATTCTGTCTAGTTTTTATATGAAGATATATCGTTTTCTACCATAGTCTTCCAAACACTCTAAATATTAACTTGGAAATTCTACAAAAAGAGTGTTTCAAAACTACTCTAGCAAAAGGAGGGTTTAACTCTGTGAGTTGAATGCACGCATCCCAAGGAAGTGTCTCAGAAATCTTCTGTCTAGTTTTATATGAGAAATCCCATTTCCAACGAATGCCTCAAAGACGTCCAAATATCCACCTGCAGACTTTACAAACAGAGTGATTCAAAACGGGATTTTTCATATAAAACTAGACAGAAGATTTCTGAGACACTTCTTTGGGATGTGTGCATTCAACTCACAGAGTTAAACTCTCCTTTTGATAGAGCAGTTTTGAAACACTCTTTTTGTAGAATTTCCAAGTGCATACTTGAAGTGCTTTGAAGCTGACGGTAGAAAACGAAATATCTTCTTATAAGAACTAGACAGACTCATTCTCAGAAACAACTTTGTGATCTATGCGTTCAATTCATAGAGTTTAACCTTTCTTTTGAGAGAGCAGGTTTGAAACAGTCTGTGAAATTTGCAAATGGATATTTCAAGGGCTTGGGGCCTACGGTAGAAAAGGAAACATTTTCATGTAACAACTAGACAGAAGCACTCTCAGAAACTACATTTTGATGGGCGCATTCAACTCACACAGTTGAACCTTTCTTTTGATAGAGCAGTTTTGAAACACTCTGCTTGTAAAGTCTGCAGGTGTATATTTGGACCTCTTTGATGCATTCGTTGGAAACGGGATTTCTACATATACAACTAGAGAGAAGAATTTTGAGAAACTTCTTTGTGATGTGTGTATTCAACTCACAGAGATGAACCTTCCTTTTCATAGAGCAGTTTCGAAACACTCTTTTTGCAGAATTTCCAAGTGCATATTTGGAGAGCTTTGAAGCCGACGGTAGAAAACAAAATATCTTCATATAAGATCTAGACAGACTCATTCTCAGAAACCACTTTGTGATGTGTGCGTTCAACTCAAAGAGTTTAACCTTTCTTTTGAGAGAGCAGGTTTGAAACAGTCTTCTTGTGAAATTTGCAAGTGGATACTTAAAGGGCTTTTGGGCCTACGGTAGAAAAGGAAATATCTTCATATAACAACTAGACAGAAGCACTCTCAGAAACTACTTTGTGATGGGCACGTTCAACTCACAGAGTTGAACCTTTCTTTTGATAGAGCAGATTTGAAACACTCTGTCAAGTCTGCAAGTGGATATTTGGACCTCTTTGAGGAATTCGTTGGAAACGGGATTTTTCATAGAAAACTAGACAGAAGAATTCTGAGACACTTCTTTGGGAAGTGTGCATTCAACTCACAGAGTTAAAACCTCCTTTTGATAGAGCAATTTTGAAACACTCTTTTTGTAGAATTTCCAAGTGCATATTAGGAGTGCCTTGAAGCCAACGTTAGAAAACGAAATATCTTAATATAAGAACTACACAGACTCATTGTCAGAAACAACTTTGTGATGTGTGCCTTCAACTCATGGTGTTTAACCTTTCTTTTGAGAGAGCAGGTTTGAAACGTTCTTTTTGTGAAATTTGGAAGTGGATATTTAAAGGGCTTTTGGGCCTACGGTAAAAAAGGAAATATCTTCATATAACAACTAGACAGAAGCACTCTCAGAAACTAATTTGTGATGGGCGCGTTCAACTCACACAGTTGAACCTTTCTTTTGATAGAGCAGTTTTGAAACACTCTGTTTGTAAAGTCTGCTGGTGGATATTTGGACCTCTTTGAGGCATTCGTTGGAAACGGGATTTCTACATATACAACTAGAGAGAAGAATTTTGAGAAACTTCTTTGTGATGTGTGTATTCAACTCACAGAGTAGAACCTCCCTTTCGATAGAGCAGTTTTGAAACACTCTTTTTGTAGAATTTCCATGTGCATAATTGGAGTGCTTTGAAGCTGACAGTAGAAAACGAAATATTTTCATGTAAGAACTAGACAGACTCATTCTCAGAAACCACTTTGAGATGTGTGCTTTCAACTCACAGAGTTAAACATTTCTTTTCAGAGAGCAGGTTTGAAACAGTCTTTTTGTGAAATTTGCAAGTGGATATTTAAAGGGCTTATGGGCCTATGGTAGTAAAGGAAATGTCTTCATATAACAACTAGACAGAAGCACTCTCAGAAACTACTTTGTGATAGGCGCGTTCATCTCACAGAGTTTAAACTTTGTTTTCATAGAGCAGGTTTGAAACACTCTGTTTGTAAAGTCTGCAAGTGGATATTTGGACCTCTTTGAGGCATTCGTTGGAAATGGGACTTCTACATATACAAATAGAGAGAAGAATTTTGGGAAACTTCTTTGTGATGTGTGTATTCAACTCACAGAGTTGAAACTTCCTTTGAAGGACCAGTTTTGAAACACTCTTTTTGTAGAATTTCCAAGTGCATATTTAGAGTGCTTGCATGCCTATGGTAGAAAATGAAATATCCTCATATAATAATTAGACAGAATCCTTCTGAGAAACAACTTTGTGATGTGTGCATTCAACTCACAGAGTTGAACCTTCCTTTCGATAGAGCAGTTTTGAAACTTTTTTTGTAGAAATTCCCAGTGCATATTTAGAGTGCATCGACGCCTATGGTAGAAAACGAAATTTCTTCATGTAAAAACTAGACAGAATCCTTCTCAGAAACAGCTTTGTGATGTGTGCGTTCAAATCACAGAGTTTAACGTTTCTTTTGATAGAGCAGTTTTGTAACACCCTTTTTGTAGAATTTGCAAGCGGGTATTTAGAGGGCTTTGGGGCCTATTGTAGAAAAGGAAATACCTTCACACAAAAACTAGACAGTAGCATTCTCAGAAACCACGTTGTGATCTTTGCGTTCAACTCACAGAGTTCAACATTCCTTTTGATAGAGCAGTTTGGAAACAATATATTTGTAGAATCTTCAAGTGGATAATTGGGCCTCCTTGAGGCCTTCGTTGGAAACGGGATTTCTTCATAGAAAACTAGACAGAAGAATTCTCAGAAGCTTCTATGTGATGTGTGTCTTCAACTTGAATATTCCTTTCAATAGAGTAGTTTTGAAAACGTCTTTTTTTAGAATTTCCAAGTGGATATTGGAAGCGCTTTGAGGCCTGAGGTAGAAAAAGGAAATATCTTCCCATGAAAACTAGACCGATTCATTCTCAGAAACTACTTTGTGATGTGTGCGTTCAACTCACAGCGTTTAACCTTTCTTTTGATACAGCAGATTTAAAACACTCCGTTTGTAAAGTCTGCAAGGGATATTTGGACCTCTTTGAGGCATTCGCTGGAAACGGGATTTCTCATATAAAACTAGACAGAATGCTAGATGACGAGTTAGTGGGTGCAGTGCAACAGCATGGCACATGTATACATATGTAACTAACCTGCAGAATGTGCACATGTACCATAAAACTTAAAGTATAATAAAAAAAAGTCAAAAAGAAAAAAAAAAGAAAAATTCACATAGAAGGAAAACGTATCACAGGAAAATGTGATTCCCCACAATTTTGCAATTAACTCAGCTAACCTGGCCCATAGCCAAATATTGTTTCATACTAACTGCTTCTTAATTGTTAGATGCACCAATTATTTTAGTATATTAAATATAAATGCATTAAAAATTAAAAAAAAAACTAGACAGAAGAATTCTGAGAAACTTCTTTGTGCTGCGTGTATGCAACACACAGACATGAACCTTCCTTTACACAGAGCAGATTTGATACACTCTTTTTGTGGAATTTGCAGGTGGAGATTTCAAGCGCTTTGAAGCCAATGTTAGAAAACGAAATATCTTCATATAACAACAAGACAGAATCTTTCTCAGAAACTAATTTGTGATGTGTGGGTTCAACTCACAGAGGTCAACAATTCTTTTCATAGACCAGTTTGGAAACGCTCTGTTTGTAAAGTCTGCAAGTGAATATTTGGACCTCTTTGAGGCCTTCGTTGGAAACGGGATTTCTTCATAAAATGCTAGACAGAAGAATTCTCAGTAACTTCTTTGTGTTGCGTGCAGGCAATTCACAGAGGTGAACCTTCCTTTAGACAGAGCATACTTGAAACACTCTTTTTCGAGAATTTGCAGGTGGAGATTTCAAGCACTTTGTGGCCAAGTGTAGAAAAGGAAATATCTTCGCATAAAATCTAGAAAGAATCATTCTGAGAAACTACTATGTGATGTGTGCATTCAACTCACACAGTTTAACCCTGCTTTTCATAGAGCAGGTTGGAAACAATCTGTTTGTAAAGTCTGCAAGTGGATATTTGCAACTCTTTGAGACCTTCGTTGGAAATGGGATTTCTTCGTATAATGCTAGACAGAAGAATTCTCAGTAACTTCTTTGTGTTGCCGGTATTCAACTCACAGAGATGAACCTTCCTTTAGACACAGCAGATTTGAAACACTCTTTTGCTGGAAGTTGCAATTGGAGATTTCAAGGGCAATGAGGCCAATGGTAGAAAAGGAAATATCTTCGTATAAAAACTAGACAGAATCATTCTCAGAAAGTACTTTGTGTTGTGTGCGTTCAACTCACAGAGTTTAACCTTTCTTTTCATAGAGCAGTTTGGAAACACTCTGTTTGTAAGGTCTGCAAGTGGATATTTTGACCTCTTGGAGGACTTCGTTGGAAACGGGATTTCTTCATATAATGCTAGACAGAAGTATTCTCAGTAACTTCTTTGTGTTGTGTGTATTCAACTCACAGAGTTGAACATTCCTTTAGACAGAGCAGATTTGATACACTCTTTTTGTGGAATTTGCAGGTGGAGATTTCAAGCACTTTGAGGCCAAGGATAGAAAAGGAAAAATCTTTGTATAAAACTAGACAGAACCATTACCAGAAACTACTTTGTGATGTGTGCATTCAACTCACAGAGTTTAGTCTTTCTTTTCATAGAACAGTTTAGAAACACTCTGTTTGTAAAGTCTGCAAGTGGATATTTGGAACTTTTGAGGCCTTCGTTGGAAAAGGGATTTCTTCATATAATGCTAGACAGAAGAATTCTCAGTAACTTCTTTCTGTTCTGTGTATTCAACTCACAGAGTTGCACCTTAGTTTAGACAGAGCAGATTTGAAAAACCCTTTTTGTGGAATTTGCAGCTGGAGATTTCAAGTGCTTTGAGGCCAATGGTAGAAAAGGAAATATCTACGTAGGAAAACTGTACAGCATACTTCTCAGAAACTACTTTGTGATGTGTACATTCAATTCACAGAGTTTAACCTTTCCTTTGATTGAGCAGTTTAGAAACACACTGTTTGTAAATTCTGCAAGAGTATATTTGGAACTCTTAGAGGCCTTCGTTGGAAACGAGATTTCTTTATATAATGGTAGACAGAAGAATCATCAGTAACATCTTTGTGTTGTGCATATTCCGCTCAAAGAGTTGAACCTTCCTTTAGACAGAGCAGATTTGATACTCTGTTTTTGTGGAACTTGCAAGTGGAGATTTCAAAAGCTTTGAGGCCAAGGGTAGAAAAGGAAATATCTTCATATAAAAACTAGACAGAATCATTCTCAGAAAATACGTTGTGATGTGTGCGTTCAACTCACAGAGTTTAACTTTTCTTTTCACAGAGTAGTTTGGAAACACTCTGTATGTAAAGTCTGCAAGGGGATATTTGGACCTCTCAGAGGCCGTAGTAAGAAACGGGATTTCTTCATATAATGTTGGACAGAAGAATTCTCAGTAACTTCTTTGTGTTGCGTGTATTCAACTTACAGAGTTGAACCTTCCTTTAGACAGAGCAGATTTGAAACACACTTTCTGTGGAATTTGCAGGTGGAGATTTAAAGCGCTTTGAGGCCAATGGTAGAAAAGGAAATATCTTCGTATAAAAACTAGACAGAATCATTCTCAGAAACTGCTTTGTGATGTGTGCGTTCAACTCACAGAGTTTAACCTTTGTTTTCATAGAGCAGTTTGGAAACACTATGTTTGTAAAGTCTTCAAGTGGATATTTGGACCTCTTTGAGGCCTTCGTTGGAAACGGGATTTCTTCATGTAAGGCTACACAGAGGAATCCTCAGTAACTTCTTTGTGTTGTGTGTATTCCACTCACAGAGTTGAACCTTCCTTTAGACAGAGCAGATTGGATACACTCTTTTTGTTGAATTTTCAGGTGGAGATATCAAGCGCTTTGAGGCCATTGGTAGAAAAGGAAATATCTTCGTTTGAAAACTAGACAGAATCATTCTCAGAAACGACTTTGAGATGTGTGCGTTCAACTCACAGAGTTTAAACTTTCTTTTCATAGTGCAGTTTGGAAACACAGTGTAAAGTCTGCAAGTGGATATTTGGAATTCTTTGAGGCCTTCGTTGGAAACGGGATTTCTTCATATAATGCTAGACAGAAGAATTCTCAGTAACTTCTTTGTGTTGTGTGTATTCAACTCACAGAGTTGAACCTTCCTTTAGACAGAGGAGATTTGATACACTCTCTTTGTAGAATTTGCAGTGGGAGATGTCAAGCGATTTGAGTGCACGGGTAGAAAAGGAAGTATCTTCATTTAAAAACTAGACAGAATCATTCTCAGAAACGACTTTGTGATGTGTGCGTTCAGCTCACAGAGTTTAACCTTTCTTTTCATAGAGCAGTTTGGCAACACTCTGTTTGTAAAGTCTGCAAGTGGATATTTGGACCTCTTTGAGGCCTTCGTTCGAAACGGGATTTCTTCATATAATGCTAGACAGAAGAATTCTCAGTAACTTCTTCGTGTTGTGTGTATTCCACTCACGGATTTGAAACTTCCTTTAGACAGAGGAGATTTGATACAATCATTTTGTGGAATTTGTAGGTGGAGATTTCAAGCGCTTTTAGGCCAATGGTAGAAAAGGAAATATCTTCGTAGAAAATCAAGACAGAATCCTTCTCAGAAACTACTTGGTGATGTGTGCGTTCAACTCACAGAGTTTAACCTTTCTTTTCATTGAGCAGTTTGGAAACACTCTATTTGTAAGTCTGCAAGTGGATATTGGGAACTCTTTGAGGCCTTCCTTGGAAACGGGATTTCTTCATATAATGTTAGACAGAAGAATTCTCAGGAACTTCTTTGTGTTGTGTGTATTCATCTCACAGAGTTGAACCTTCCTTTAGAAGTAGCAGATTTTTTACACTCCTTTTGTGGAATTTGCAGGTGGAGATTTGAAGTGATTGGATGCCAATGTTTGAAAAGGAAATATCTTCGTATTAAAACTAGACAGAATCATGCTTAGAAACTAATTTGTGATGTGTGCATTCAACTAGCAGAGTTTAATCTTTCTTTTCATAGAGCAGTTTGGAAACTCTCTTTGTAGTGTCTGCAAGTGGATATTTGGACCTCTTGGAGGTCTTCGTTGGAAATAGGATTTCTTCATATAATGCTAGACAGAAGTACTCTCAGTAACTTCTTTGTGTTGTGTGTATTCAACTCACAGAGTTGAACCTTCCTTTTGACAGAATATTTCGAAACTCTCTTTTTGTGAAATTCGCAGGTCGAGATTTCAAGCGCTTTGAGGCCAAATGTAGAAAGGGAAATATCTTCGTATAAAAACTAGACAGAATCATTCTCAGAAACTACTTTGTGATGTGTGCGTTCAACTCACAGAGTTTAACCTTTCTTTTCATAGAGCAGTTTGGAAACACTCTGTTTGTAAAGTCTGCAAGAGGATATTTGGACCTCTTAGAGGCATTCGTTGGAAACGGGATTTCTTCATATAATGCTAGAGAGAAGAATTCTCAGAAACTTCTTTGTGTTGTGTGTATTCCACTCACAGAGTTGAACCTTCCTTTAGACAGAGCAGATTTGATACACACTTTTTGTGGAATTTGCAGGTGGAGATTTCAAGCGCTTTGAGGCCAATGGTAGAAAAGGAAATATCTTCTTATAACAACTAGACTGAATCATTCTCAGAAACTACATTGTGATGATTGTGATGTGCGTGCTAAACTCACAGAGTTTAACCTTTCTTTTCATGGAGTAGTTGGAGAAACTCTGTTTGTGAAGTCTTCAAGTGGATATTTTGACCTCTTGGAGGCCTCCGGTGGAAACGGGATATCTTCATAAAATGCTAGTCAGAAGAATTCTCAGTAACTTCTTTGTGTTGTGTGTATTCAACTCAGAGAGTTCAACCTTCCTTTAGACAGAGCAGATTTGATACACTCTTCTGGTGAAATTTGCAGTTGGAGATTTCAAGCGTTTTGAGGCCAAGGGTAGAAAAGGAAATATCTTCGTATAAAAACTAGACAGAATCATTCTCAGAAATTACTTTCTGATGTGTGCGTTGAACTCACAGAGTGTAACCTTTCTTTTCATTGAGCAGTTTGGAAACACTCTGTAAAGTCTGCAAATGGATATTTCAACCTCTTTCAGGCCTTCTTTGGAAATGGGATTTCTTCATATAATGCTAGACAGAAGAATTCTCAGTAACTTCTTTGTGTGGTGTCGACTCAACTCACTGAGTTGAACCTTTCTTTAGACGGAGCACATTTGAGACACTCTTATTGTGGAATTTCAGGTGGAGGTTTCAAGCGCTTTGAGGCCAATGGTAGAAAAGGAAATTTCTTCGTATAAAAACTAGAGAGAATCATTATCCGAAACTCCTTTGTGATCTCTGCGTTCAACTCACAGAGTTTAACCTTTCTTTTCATAGAGCAGTTTGGAAAGCCTCTGTAAAGTCTGCAAGTGGATATTTGGACCTCTTTGAGGCCTTCGTTGGAAACGGGATTTCTTCATATAATGCTAGACAGAAGAATTCTCAGTAAGTTCTTCGTGTTGTGTGTATTATACTCACAGATTTGAACCTTCCTTTAGACAGAGGAGATTTGATACACTCATTTTGTGGAATTTGCACGTGGAGATTTCAAGCATTTGAGGCCAAGTGTACAAAAGGAAATATCTTCCAATGAAACCTAGACAGATTCATTCTCAGAAACCACTTTGTGATTTGTGCATTCAACTCACAGAGTTTAACCTTTTTTTTCATAGAGCAGTTTGGAAACCCTCTCTTTGTAAAGTCTGGAAGTGGATATTTGGAACCCTTTGAGGCCTTCGTTGGAAATGGGATTTCTTCATATAATGTTAGACAGAAGAATTCTCAGGAACTTATTTCTGTTGTGTGTATTCAACTCACAGGGTTGAACCTTCTTTAGACCGAGCAGATTTGAAACACTCTTTTTCTGGAATTTGCAGGTGGAGATTTCAAGTGCTTTGAGGCCAAGGGTAGAAAAGGACATATCCTCGTATAAAATCCAAATAGAATCATTCTCCGAAACTACTTTGTAATGTGTCCTTTCAACACACAGAGTTTAACCTTCTTTTTCGTAGAGCAGTTTGGAAACACTCTCTTTGTGAAGTCTGCAAATGGATATTTGGACCTCCTTAAGGCCTTGGTTGGAAACGGGATTTCTTCATATAATGTTAGACAAAAGAATTCTCAGGAACTTCTTTGTGTTGTGGGTATTCAACTCACAGAGTTCAACCTTCCCTTAGACAGAGGAGATTTGATACACTCTCTTTGTGGAATTTGCAGTTGGAGATGTCAAGTGATTTGTGTCCAATGGTAGAAAAGGAAATATCTTCTCATGAAAACTAGACAGAATCATTCTCAGAAACTACCATGTGATGTGTGCGTTCAACTCACAGAGTTTAACCTTTCTTTTCATGGAGCAATTTGGAAACACTCTGTTTGTAAAGTCTTTAAGTGGATATTTTTACCTCTTGGAGGCCTTCGTTGGAAACGGGATTTCTTCATATAATGCTAGACAGAAGAATTCTCAGTAACTTCTTTGTGTTGTGTGTATTCCACTCACAGAGTTGAACCTTCCTTTAGACAGAGTAGATTTGAAACACACTTTTTGTGGAATATGCAGGTGGAGATTTCAAGCGCATTGAGGCCAAGGGTAGAAAAGGAATTATCTTCGTAAAAAATCTAGACAGAATCATTCTCAGAAACTACTTTGTGATGGGTGCGTTCAGCTCAGAGAGTTTCACCTTTCTTTTCATAGAGCAGTTTGGAAACACTATGTTTGTAAAATCTGCAAGTGGATATTTGGACTTCTTTGAGGCTTTCATTGGAAACGGGATTTCTTCATATAATGTTAGACAGAAGAATTCTCAGGAACTTCTTTGTGTTGTGTGTATTCATCTCACAGAGGTGAACTTTCCTTTAGACTTAGCAGATATTTTACACTCCTGTTGTGGAATTTACAGGTGGAGATTTGAAGTGATTGGATGCCAAGGTTTGAAAAGGAAATATCTTCGTATAAAAACTAGACAGAATCATTCTCAGAAACTACTTTGTGATGGGTGCGTTCAACTCACAGAGTTTAACCTTTCTTTTCATAGAGCAGTTTGGAAACACTCTGTTTGTAAAGCCTGCAAGTGGATATTTGGACCTCTTGGAGGCCTTCGTTGGAAACGGGATTTCTTCATATAATGCTAGACAGAAGAATTCTCAGTAACTACTTTGTGTTGTGCGTATTCATCTCACAGAGTTGAACCTTCCTTTAGACAGAGCAGATTTGATACACTCTTTTTGTGGAACTTGCAGGTGGAGATTTCAAGGGCTTTGAGGCCATGGAAAAGGAAATATCTTCGTATAAAAACTAGACAGAATCATTCTCAGAAACTACTTTGAGATGTGTTCGTTCAACTGACAGAGTTCAACATTTCTTTTCATAGAGCAACTTGGAAACACTCTGTAAAGTCTGCAAGTGGATATTTGGACCTCTTTGAGGCCTTCGTTGGAAACGGGATTTCTTCATATAATTCTAGACAGCAGAATTTTCAGTAACTTCTTTGTGTTGTGTGTATTCAACTCACAGAGTTGAAACTTCCTTTAGACAGAGCAGATTTCAAACACTCTTTTTGTGGAATGTAAAGGTGGAGAATTCAAACGCTTTGAGGCCAATGGTTGAAAAGGATATATCTTCGTCGAAAAGGTAGACAGAATCATTTTCAGAAACTACTTTGTGATGTGTGAGTTCAACTCACAGAGTTTAACCTTTCTTTTCATAGAGCAGTTTGGAAACACTCTGTTTGTAAAGCCTGCAAGTGGATATTTGGACCACTTTCAGGCCTTCATTGGAAACGGGATTTCTTCATATAATGCCAGACAGAAGAATTCTCAGTAACTTCTTTGTGTTGTGTGTATTCAACTCAGTGAGTTGAACCTTCCTTTAGACAGAGCAGATTTGAAACACTCTTTTTGTGAAATTTGCAGGTGGAGATTTCAAGCACTTTGAGGCCAAGAGTAGAAAAGGAAATATCTTCGTATAAAAACTAGGCAGAATCATTCTCAGAAACTACTTTGTGATGGGTGCGTTGAACTCACAGAGTTTAACCTTTCTTTTCATAGAGCAGTTTGGAAACACTCTGTTTGTAATGTCTGCATGTGGATATTTGGACCTCTTGGAGGCCTTCGTTGGAAACGGGATTTCTTCATATAATGCAAGACAGAAGAATTCTCAGTAACTACTTAGTGTTGAGTGTATTCATCTCACAGAGTTGAACCTTCCTTTAGTCAAAGCAGATTTGATACACTCTTTTTGTGGAATTTGCAGGTGGAGATTTCATGCCCTTTGAGGCCCATGGTACAAAAGGAAATGTAGTCGTATAAAAACAAGACTGAATCATTCTGAGAAATTACTTTGTGATGTGTACGTTCACCTCACAGGGTATAACCTTTCTTTTCATAGAGCAGTTTGGAAACACTCGGTTTGTAAAGTCTGCAAGTGGATATTTTGACCGCTCTGAGGCCTTTGTTGGAAATGGGATTTCTTCATATAAAGCTAGACAGAAGAATTCTCAGCAACTTTTTGTGTTGCATGTACTCAACTCACAGAGATGAACATTAGTTTAGAAAGAGCTGATATGAAGCACACTTTTTGTGGAATTTGTAGGTGGAGATTTCAGGCGCTTTGAGGCCTTTGGTAGAAAAGGAAATATCTTCGTATAAGAACTAGACAGAATCATTCTCAGAAACTACATTGTGATGAGTGTGTTCCACTCACAGAGTTTAAGGTTTCTTTTCATAGAGCAGTTTGGAAACACTCTGTTGGTAAAGTCTGCAAGTGCTTATTTAGACCTCTTGGAGGCCCTCTTTGGAAAAGGGATTTCTTCATGTAATGTTGGACAGAAGAATTCTCAGTAACTTCTTTGTGTTGTGTGTATTCAACTCACAGAGTTGAACCTTCCTTTAGACAGAGCAGATTTGATACACTCTTTTTGTGGAATTTGCAGGTTTAGATTTCATGCGCTTTGAGGAAAAGGGAAGAAAAGGAAATATCTTCGTATAAAAACTAGCCAGAATCATTCTCAGAAACTACTTTGTGATGTGTGCGTTCAACTCAGAGAGTTTCACCTTTCTTTTCATAGAGCAGTTTGGAAACACTATGCTTGTAAAATCCGCAAGTGGCTATTTGGACTTCTTTGAGGCTTTCATTGGAAACGGGATTTCTTCATATAATGCAAGACGGAAGAATTCTGAGTAACTTCTTTGTGTTGCATATATTCAACTTACAGAAGTGAACCTTCCTTTAGACAGAGCGGATTTGAAACACTCTTTTTGTGGAATTTGCAGTTGGAGATTTCAAGCTCTTTGAGGCCAATGTTACAATCCTTTTGTAGAATTTGCAATTGGAGTTTTCAAGCGCTTTGAGGCCAAGGGTAGAAAAGGAAATACCTTCGTATAAAAACTAGACAGAATCATTCTCAGAAACTACATTGTGATGTGTGCGTTCAACTCACAGAGTTTAACCTTTCTTTTCATAGAGCAGTTTGGAAACACTCTGATTGTAATGTCTGCAAGAGGATATTCAGACCTCTTGGGGGCCTTCGTTGGAAATGGGATTTCTTCATATAATGCAAGACAGAAGAATTCTCAGGAACTACTTTGTGTTGAGTGTATTCATCTCACAGAGTTGAACCTTCCTTTAGACAAAGCAGATTTGATACACTCTTTTTGTGGAATTTGCAGGTGGAGATTTCATGCGCTTTGAGGCCCATGGTACAAAAGGAAATATCATCGTACAAAAACAAGACAGAATCATTCTGAGAAATTACGTTGTGATGTGTACGTTCACCTCACAGGGTATAACCTTTCTTTTCATAGAGCAGTTTGGAAACACTCGGTTTGTAATGTCTGCAAGTGGATATTTTGACCCCTCTGAGGCCTTCGTTGGAAATGGGATTTCTTCATATAAAGCTAGACAGAAGAATTCTCAGTAACTTTTTGTGTTGCGTGTACTCAACTCACAGAGATGAACCTTAGTTTAGAAAGAGCTGAATTGAAACACACTTTTTGTGGAATTTGTAGGTGGAGATTTCAGGCGCTTTGAGGCCTTTGGTAGAAAAGGAAATATCTTCGTATAAAAACAAGACAGAATCATTCTCAGAAACTACTTTGAGATGTGTTCGTTCAACTCACAGAGTTCAACATTTCTTTTCATAGAGCAATTTCGAAACACTCTGTAAAGTCTGCAAGTGGATATTTGGACCTCTTTGAGGCCTTCGTTGGAAACGAGATTTCTTCATACAAAGCTAGACAGAAGAATTCTCAATAACTTCTTTGTGTTGTGCGTATTCAACTCACAGACTTGAAAGTTCCTTTAGACAGAGCGGATTTGAAACACTCATTTTGTGGAATGTGAAGATGGAGAATTCAAGCGCTTTGAAGCCAATGGTAGAACAGGATATATCTTCGTCGAAAAGGTAGAGAGAATCATTCTCAGAAACTACTTTGTGATGTGTGCGTTCAACTCAGACAGTTTCAACTTTCTTTTCATAGAGCAGTTTGGAAACACTATGCTTGTAAAATCTGAAAGTGGCTATTTGGACTTCTTTGAAGCTTTCATTGGAAACGGGATTTCTTCATATAATGCAAGATGGAAGAATTCTGAGTAACTTCTTTGTGTTGCGTGTATTCAACTCACAGAGGTGAACCTTCCTTTAGACAGAGCGGATTTGAAACACTCTTTTTGTGGAATTTGCAGGTGGAGATTTCAAGCTCTTTGAGGCCAATGTTACAATCGTTTTGTAGAATTTGCAATTGGAGTTTTCAAGCGCTTTGAGGCCCAGGGTAGAAAAGGAAGTATCTTCGTATAAAAACTAGATAGAATCATTCTCGGAAACTACTTTGTGGTGTGTGCGTTCAACTCACAGAGTTTAACCTTTCTTTTCATAGAGCAGTTTGGAAACATTCTGTTTCTAAAGCCTGTAAGTGGATATGTGGACCTCTTGGAGGCCTTCATTGGAAACGGGATTTCTTCATATAATGCTAGACAGAAGAATTCTCAGTAACT
>NC_000012.12:37245716-37255332 GCF_000001405.40 Homo sapiens | reverse complement strand
TTCAAGCGATTGGAGGCCAAGGGTAGTAAAGGGAAATTCTTCGTATAAAAACTAGGCAGTATCATTCTCAGAAACTACTTTGTGATGTGTGTGTTGAACTCACAGAGTTTAACCTTTCTTTTCATAGAGCAGTTTGGAAACACTCTGTTTGTAAAGCCTGCAAGTGGATATTTGGACCTCTTGGAGGCCTTCGTTGGAAACGGGATTTCTTCATATAATGCTAGACAGAAAACTTCTCAATAACTACTTTGTGTTGAGTGTATTCATCTCACAGAGTTGAACCTTCCTTTAGACAGAGCAGATTTGATACACTCTTTTAGTGGAATTTGCAGGTGGGGATTTCAAGGGCTTTGAGGCCAAGGAAAAGGAAATATCTTCGTATAAAAACAAGACAAAATCATTCTCAGAAACTACTCTGAGATGTGTTCGTTCAACTCACAGAGTTCAACATTTCTTTTCATAGAGCAATTTGGAAACACTCTGTAAAGTCTGCAAGTGGATATTTGTACCTCTTTGAGGCCTTCGGTGGAAATGGGTTTTCTTCATATAATTCTAGACAGCAGAATTCTCAGTAACTTCTTTGTGTTGTGTGTATTCAACTCACAGAGTTGAAACTTCCTTTAGCCAGAGCAGATTTCAAACACTCTTTTTGTGGAAAGTGAAGATGGAGAATTCAAGCGCTTTGAGGCCAATGGTAGAAAAGGTTATATGTTCGTCGAAAAGGTAGACAGAATCATTTTCAGAAACGACTTTGTGATGTGTGCGTTCCACTCACAGAGTTTAACCTTTCTTTTCATAGAGCAGTTTGGAAACACTCTGTTTGTATAGCCTGCAAGTGGATATTTGGACCACGTTCAGGCCTTCGTTGGAAACGGGATTTCTTCATATAATGCCAGACAGAAGAATTCTCAGCAACTTCTTTGTGTTGTGTGTATTCAACTCAGTGAGTTGAACCTTTCTTTAGACAGAGCAGATTTGAAAAACTCTTTTTGTGAAATTTGCAGGTGGAGATTTCAAGCGTTTTTAGGCCAAGTGTAGAAAAGGAAATATCTTCGTATAAACACTAAACAGAATCATTCTCAGAAAGTACTTTGTGATGTGTGCATTCAACTCACTGAGTTTAGCCTTTCTTTTGACTGAGCAGTTTGGAAACACTCTGTTTTTAATGTCTGCAAGTGGATATTTGGACCTCTTTGAGGCCTTCGTTGGAAACGGGATTTCTTCATACAAAGCTAGACAGAAGAATTCTCAATAACTTCTTTGTGTTGTGTGTATTCAACTCACAGACTTGAACGTTCCTTTAGACAGAGCAGATTTGAAACACTCTTTTTGTGGAATTTGCAGGTGGAGATTTCAAGCCCTTTGAGGCCAATGTTACAATCTTTTTGTAGGATTTGCAGTTGGAGTTTTCAAGTGCTTTGAGGCCAAGGGTAGAAAAGGAAATATCTTCGTAAAAAAACTAGGCAGAATCATTCTCAGAAACTACTTTGTGATGTGTGCGTTGAACTCGCAGAGTTTAACCTTTCTTTTCATAGAGCTGTTTGGAAACACTCTGTTTGTAATGTATGGAAGTGTATATTTGGACCTCTTGGAGGCCTTCGTTGGAAATGGGATTTCTTCATATAATGCAAGACAGAAGAATTCTCAGTAACTACTGTTGTGTTGAGTGTATTCTTCTCACAGAATTGAAACTTCCTTTACACAAAGCAGATTTGATACACTCCTTTTGTGGAATTTGGTGGTGGAGATTTCATGCGCTTTGTGGTCCATGGTACAAAAGGAAATATCGTCGTATAAAAACAAGACAGAATCATTCTGAGAAATTACTTTGTGATGTGTACGTTCACCTCACAGGGTATAACCTTTCTTTTCATAGAGCAGTTTATAAACACTCGGTTTGTAAAGTCTGCAAGCGGATATTTTGACTGCTTTGAGGCCTTCGTTGGAAATGGGATTTCTTCATATAAAGCTAGACAGAAGAATTCTCAGTAACTTTTTGTGTTGCGTGTACTCAACTCACAGAGATGAACCTTAGTTTAGAAAGAGATGATTTGAAACACACTTTTTGTGGAATTTGTAGGTGGAGATTTCAGGCGCTTTGATGCCTTTGGTAGAAAAGGAAATATCTTCGTATAACAACTAGACTGAATCATTCTCAGAAACTACGTTGTGATGAGTGTGTTCGACTCACAGAATTTAAACTTTCTTTTCATAGAGCAGTTTGGAAACACTCTGTTTGTAATGTCTCCAAGTGGATATTTGGACCTCTTGGAGGCCTTCGTTGGAAACGGCATTTCTTCATATAATGCAAGACAGAAGAATTCTCAGTTACTACTTTTGTGTTGAGTGTATTCATCTCACAGAGTTGAACCTTCCTTTAGACAAAGCAGATTTGATACACTCTTTTTGTGGAGTTTGCAGGTGGAGATTTCATGCGCTTTGAGGCCCATGGTACAAAAGGAAATATCGTCGTATAAAAACAAGACAGAATCATTCTGAGAAATTACTTTGTGATGTGTACGTTCACCTCACAGGGTATAACCTTTCTTTTCATAGAGCAGTTTGGAAACACTCAGTTTGTAAAGTCTGCAAGCGGATGTTTTGACTGCCTTGAGGCCTTCATTGGAAATGGGATTTCTTCATATAAAGCTACACAGAAGAATTCTCAGTAACTTTTTGTGTTGCGTGTACTCAACTCACAGAGGTGCACCTTAGTTTAGAAAGAGCTGATTTGAACCGCACTTTTTGTGGAATTTGTAGTGGAGATTTCAGGCGCTTTGAGGCCTTTGGTAGAAAAGGAAATATCTTCGTATAACAACTAGACAGAATCATTCTCAGAAACTACATTGTGATGAGTGCGTTCAACTCACAGAGTTTAAGCTTTCTTTTCATAGAGCAGTTTGGAAACACTCTGTTTGTAAAGTCTGCAAGTGCTTATTTAGACCTCTTGGAGGCCCTCGTTGAAAAAGGGATTTCTTCATGTAATGTTAGACAGAAGAATTCTCAGTAACTTCTTTGTGTTGTGTGTATTCAACTCACAGAGTTGAACCTTCCTTTAGACAGAGCAGATTTGACACACTCTTTTTGTGGAATTTGCAGGTGGAGATTTCATGCGCTTAGAGGAAAAGGGAAGAAAAGGAAATATCTTCGTATAAAAACTAGACAGAATCATTCTCAGAAACTACTTTGTGATGTGTGCATTCAACTCAGAGAGTTTCACCTTTCTGCTCATGGAGCAGTTTGGAAACACTATGCTTGTAATATCTGCACGTGGCTATTTGGACTTCTTTGAGGCTTTCATTGGAAACGGGATTTCTTCATATAATGCAAGACGGAATTATTCTGAGTAACTTCTTTGTGTTGCGTGTATTCAACTCACAGAGGTAAACCTTCCTTTAGACAGAGCGGATTTGAAACACTCTTTTTGTGCAATTTGCAGGTGGAGATTTCAAGCTCTTTGAGGCCAATGTTACAATCGTTTTGTACAATTTGCAATTGGAGTTTTCAAGCACTTTGAGGCCTAGGGTAGAAAAGGAAATATCTTCGTATAAAAACTAGACAGAATCATTCTCGGAAACTACTTTGTGGTGTGTGCGTTCAACTCACAGAGTTTAACCTTTCTTTTCATAGAGCAGTTTGGAAACACTCTGTTTGTAAAGCCTGCAAGTGGATATTTGGACCTCTTGGAGGCCTTCGTTGGAAACGGGATTTCTTCATATAATGCTAGACAGAAGAATTCTCAGGAACTTTTTGTGTTGCGTGTACTCAACTCACAGAGATGAACCTTAGTTTAGAAAGAGCTGATTTGAAAGACACTTTTTGTGGAATTTGTAGGTGGAGATTTCAAGCGCTTTGAGCCCTTTGGTAGAAAAGGAAATATCTTCGCATAACAACTAGACAGAATCATTCTCAGAAACTACACTGTGATGAGTACGTTCAACTCACAGAGTTTAAGCTTTCTTTTCTTAAGCAGTTTGGAAACACTCTGTTTGTAAAGTCTGCAAGTGCTTATTTAGACCTCTTGGAGGCCTTCGTTGGAAAAGGGCTTTCTTCATGTAATGTTAGACAGAAGAATTCTCAGTAACTTCTTTGTGTTGTGTGTATTCAACTCACAGAGTTGAGCCTTCCTTAGACAGAGCAGATTTGATACACTCTTTTTGTGGAAATTGCAGGTGGAGATTTCAAGCGCTTTGAGGCCAATGGTAGCAAAGGAAACATCGTCGTATAAAAACTAGACAGAATCATTCTGAGAAACTACATTGTGATGTGTGCGTTCAACTCACAGAGTTTAACCTTTCTCTTCATCGAGCAGTTTGGAAACACTCTGGTTGTAAGGTCTGCAAGTGGATATTTGGAACTCTTTGTGGCCTTCGTTGGAAACGGGATTTCTCCATATAATGTTAGATAGAAGAAGTCTCAGTAACTTATTTGTGGTGTGTGTATTCAACTCAGAGAGTTGAACTTTCCTTTATACAGACCAGATGTGAAACACTCTTTTTATGGAATTTGCAGGTGGAGATTTCAAGCGCTTTGAAGCCAATGGTAGAAAAGGAAATAACGTCGTATAAAATCTAGAGAGAATCATTCACAGAAATTTCTTTCTGACGTGTGTTCAACTCACAGTTTTTAACCTTTCTTTTGATGGAGCGGTTTGGAAACACCCTGTTTGTATTCTCTGCAAGTGGATATTTTGAACTCTTTGAGGCCTTCGTTTGAAACGGGATTTCTTCATGTAATGTTCGACAGAATTCTCAGTAACTTACTTGGGGTGTGTGTATTCAACTCACAGAGTTGTACCCTCCTTTAGACAGAGCAGATTTGAAACACTCTATTTGTGGAGTTTCCAGATGGAGATTTCAATTGCTTTGAGGCCAATGGTAGAAAAGGAAATATCTTCCTATGAAAACAAGACAAAATCATTCTCAGAAACTACTTTGTGATGTGTGCGTTCAATTCACAGAGTATAATCTTTCTTTTGATAGAGGAGTTTGGAAACACTGTCTTTGTAAAGTCTGCAAGTACATATTTGGACCTCTTTGAAGCCTTCATTGGAAACGGGATTTCCTCATAGAATGTTACACAGAAGAATTCCCAGTAAGTTATTTGTGGTGTGTGTATTCAACTCAGAGTTGAATCTTCCTTCAGAAAGAGCAGATTTGAAACACTCTTTTTCTGGAGTTTCCATGTGAAGATTTCAATCGCTTTGAGACCAAAGGTAGAAAAGGAAACATCTTCGTATAAAAACTAGGCAGAATCATTCACAGAAACTACTTTTTGAAGTGTGTGTTCAACTCACAAAGTTTAACCTTTCCTTTGATGGAGCAGTTTGGAAACACTCTGTTTTTCAAGTCTGCAAGTGGATATTTGGACCTCTTTGAGGCCTTCGTTGGACACGGGATTTCTTCATATACTGTTTGACAGAAGAATTCTCAGTAACTTATTTGTGGTGCGTGTATTCAACTCACAGAGTTGAAACTTCCTTTAGACAGAACAGATTTGAAACACTCTATTTGTGCAGTTTCCAGTTGGAGATTTCAATCGCTTTGAGGCCAATCGTAGAAACGGAAATATCTTCGTATAAATACAAGACAGAATCATACACAGAAACCACTTTGTGATGTGTGCGTTCAACTCACGAAGTTTAAGCTTTCTTTTCATAGAGTAGTTTGGAAACACTCTGTTTGTAAAGTCTGCAAGCAGATATTTGGACCTCTTTGAGGCCTTCGTTGGAAACGGGATTTCTTCATATCACGCTAGAAAGAAGAATACTCAGTAACTTCTTTGTGTTGCCTCTATTCAACTCACAGAGGTGAACTGTCCTTTAGACAGAGCACATGTGAAACCTTCTTTTTGTGATATTCGCAGGTGCAGATTTCAAGCGCTTTTAGGCCAAATGTAGAAAAGGAAATATCTTCGTATAAAAATTAGTTTCATTCTCAGAAACTACTTTGTGATGTGTGCGTTCAATTCACAGAGTATAACCTTTCTTTTGATGGAGGAGTTTGGAGAAACTGTATTTGTAAAGTCTGCAAGTGGATATTTGGACCTCTTTGAGGCCTTCGTTGGAAACGGGATTTCCTCATATAATGTTACACAGAAGAATTATCAGTAACTTATTTGTGGGGTGTGTATTCAACTCACAGAGTTGAACCTTCCTTCACAAAGAGCAGATTGGAAACACTCTTTTTGTGGAGTTTCCATGTGGAGATTTCAATCGCTTTGAGACCAATGGTAGAAAAGGAAACATCTTTGTATATAATCTAGACAGAATCATTCACAGAAACTTCTTTGTGATGTGTGTGTTCAGCTCACAGAGTTTAACCTTTCTTTTGTTGCAGCAGGTTGGAAACACTCTGTTTGTAATGTCTGCAAGTGGATATTTGGACCTCTTTGAGGCCTTCGTTGGAAACTGGATTTCTTCATGTAATGTTCGACAGAAGAATTCTCGGTAACTTATTTGTGGTGTGTGTATTCAACTCACAGAGTTGAACCTTCCTTTAGACAGAGCAGATTTGAAACACCCTATTTGTGCAGTTTCCAGTTGTAGAATTCAATCACTTTGAGGCCAATCGTAGAAACGGAAATATCTTCGTATAAAAAAAAAGACAGAATCATTCTCAGAAACTACATTGTGATGTGTGCGTTCAACTCACGGAGTTTAAGCTTTCTTTTTATAGAGTAGTTTGGAAACACTCTGTCTGTAAAGTGTTCAAGCAGATATTTGGACCTCTTTCAGGCCTTCGTTGGAAACGGGATTTCTTCATATAACGCTAGAAAGAAGAATACTCAGTAACTTCTTAGTGTTGCCTCTATTCAACTCACAGAGGTGAACTGTCCTTTCGACAGAGCAGATGTGAAACCCTCTTTTTGTGACATTTGCAGGTGCAGATTTCAAGCGCTTTTAGGCCAAATGTAGAAAAGGAAATATCTTCGTATAAAAACTAGACAGAATCATTCTCAGAAACTGCTTTGTGATGTGTGCGTTCAATTCACAGAGTATAACCTTTCTTTTGATGGAGGAGTTTGGAGACACTGTCTTTGTAATGTCTGCAAGTGGATATTTGGAACTCTTTGAGGCCTTCGTTGGAAACGGGATTTCCTCATATAATGTTACACAGAAGAATTCTCAGTAACTTATTTGTGGTGTGTGTATTCAACTCACAGAGTTGAACCTTCCTTCTGAAAGAGCAGATTTGAAACACTCTTTTTGTGGAGTTTCCATGTGGAGATTTCAATCGCTTTGAGACCAAAGGTAGAAAAGGAAACATCTTCGTATAAAAACTAGACAGAATCATACACAGAAACTACTTTTTGATGTGAGTGTTCAGCTCACAGAGTTTAACCTTTCTTTTGATGGAGCAGTTTGGAAACACTCTGTTTGTCAAGCCTGCAAGTGGATATTTGGACCTCTTTGAGGCCTTCTTTGGAAAAGGGATTTCTTCATATAATGTTAGACAGAAGAAGTCTCAGTAACTTATTTGTGCTGTGTGTATTCAACTCACAGAGGTGAACTTTACTTTAGACAGAGCACATGTGAAACACACTTTCTGTGGAATTTGCAGCTGGAGATTTCAAGCGCTTTGAGGCCTATGGTAGAAAACGAAACATCTTCGTATAAAATCTAGACAGAATCGTTCACAGAAACTACTTTTTGATGTGTGTGTTCAGCTCACAGAGTTTAACATTTCTTTTGATGGAGCAGTTTGGAAACACTGTGTTTGTCAAGTCTGCAAGTGGATATTGGGACCTCTTTGAGGCCTTCGTTGGAAACGGGATTTCTTCATGTAAAGTTCGACAGAAGAATTCTCAGTAACTTATTTATGGTGTGTGTATTCAACTCACAGAGTTGAAACTTCCTCGAGAGAGAGCAGATTTGAAACACCCTATTTGTGCAGTTTCCAGTTGGAGATTTCAATCGCTTTGAGGCCAATCGTAGAAACGGAAATATCTTCGTATAAAAACAAGACAGAATCATTCTCAGAAACTTCTTTGTGATGTGTGCGTTCAACTCACGGAGTTTAAGCTTTCTTTTCATAGAGTAGTTTGGAAACACTCTGTCTGTAATGTCTGCAAGCAGATATTTGGACCTCTTTGAGGCCTTCGTTGGAAACGGGATTTCTTCATATAATGTTAGACAGAAGAAGTCTCAGTAACTTCTTTGTGCTGTGTGTATTCAACTCACAGAGCTGAACTTTACTTTAGACAGAGCAGATGTTCAACACACTTTTTGTGGAATTTGCAGCTGGAGATTTCTAGCGCTTTGAGGCCTATGGTAGAAAAGGAAACATCATCTTATAAAATCTAGACAGAATCATTCACAGAAACTTCTTTTTGATGTGTGTGTTCATCTCACAGAGTTTAACCTTTCTTTTGATGGAGCAGTTTGCAAACACTGTGTTTGCATTGTCGGCAACTGGATATTTGGACCTCTTTGAGGCCTTCGTTGGAAACGGGATTTCTTCATGTAATGTTCGAGAGAAGAATTCTCAGTAACTTATTTGTGGTGTGTGTATTCAACTCACAGAGTTGAACCTTCCTTTAGACAGAGCAGATTTGAAACACCCTATTTGTGCAGTTTCCAGTTGGAGATTTCATTCGCTTTGAGGCCAATCATAGAAACGGAAATATCTTCCTATAAAAACGAGACAGAATCATTCTCAGAAACTACTTTGTGATGTGTGCGTTCAACTCATGGAGTTTAAGCTTTCTTTTCATAGAGTAGTTTGGAAACACTCTGTCTGTAAAGTCTGCAAGCAGATATTTGGACCTCTTTGAGGCCTTCGTTGGAAACGGGATTTCTTCATATAACGCTAGAAAGAAGAATACTCAGTAACTTCTTTGTGTTGCCTCTATTCAACTCACAGAGTTGAACTGTCCTTTAGACAGAGCAGATGTGAAACCCTCTTTTTGTGATATTTGCAGGTGGAGATTTCAAGCGCTTTTAGGCCAAATGTAGAAAAGGAAATATCTTCGTATAAAAACTAGACAGAATCATTCTCAGAAACTACTTTGTGATGTGTGCGTTCAATTCACAGAGTATAACCTTTCTTTTGATGGAGGAGTTTGGAGACACTGTCTTTGTAAAGTCTGCAAGTGGATATTTGGACCTCTTTGAGGCCTTCGTTGGAAACGGGATTTCCTCATATAATGCTACACAGAAGAATACTGAGTAAGTTCTTGGTGTTGCCTCTATTCAACTCACAGAGGTGAACCTTCCTTTAGACAGAGCAGATTTGAAACACTCTTTTTGTGGAGTTTCCATGTGGAGATTTCAATGGCTTTTAGGCCAAATGTGGAAAAGGAAATATCTTCTTATAAAAAGTAGACAGAATCGTTCTCAGAATCTACTTTGTGATGTGTGCGTTCAATTCACAGAGTATAACCTTTCTTTTGATGGAGGAGTTCGGAGACACTGTCTTTGTAAAGTCTGCAAGTGCATATTTGGACCTCTTTGAGGCCTTCGTTGGAAACGGGATTTCCTCATATAATGTTACACAGAAGAATTCTCAGTAACTTATTTGTGGTGTGTGTATTCAACTCACAGAGTTGAACCTTCCTTCAGAAAGAGCAGATTTGAAACACTCTTTTTGTGGAGTTTCCATGTGGAGATTCAATC
>NC_000012.12:37235252-37240944 GCF_000001405.40 Homo sapiens | reverse complement strand
TAGAAAAGGATACATCTTCGTATAACAAGCTAGACAGACTCATTCACAGTAACTACTTTGTGATGTGTGTGATCAGCTCACAGAGTCTAACCTTTCTTTGGATGGTGCAGCTAGCAATCACTCTGACAAGTCTGCAAGTGGATATTTGGACCTCTTTGAGGCCTTCGTTGGAAACGGGATTTCTTCATATAATGTTAGACAGAAGAAGTCTCAGTAACTTCTTTGTGCTGTGTGTATTCAACTCACAGAGCTGAACTTTACTTTAGACAGAGCAGATGTTAAACACACTTTTTGTGGAATTTGCAGCTGGAGATTTCTAGCGCTTTGAGGCCTATGGTAGAAAAGGAAACATCTTCTTATAAAATCTAGACAGAATCATTCACAGAAACTTCTTTCTGATGTGTGTGTTCATCTCACAGAGTTTAACCTTTCTTTTGACGGAGCAGTTTGGAAACACTGTGTTTGCATTGTCGGCAACTGGATATTTGGACCTCTTTCAGGCCTTCGTTGGAAACGGGATTTCTTCATGTAATGTTCGAGAGAAGAATTCTCAGTAACTTATTTGTGGTGTGTGTATTCAACTCACAGAGTTGAACCTTCCTTTAGACAGAGCAGATTTGAAACACCCTATTTGTGCAGTTTCCAGTTGGAGATTTCAATCGCTTTGAGGCCAATCGTAGAAACGGAAATATCTTCGTATAAATACAAGACAGAATCATTCTCAGAAACTACTTTGTGATGTGTGCGTTCAACTCACGGAGTTTAAGCTTTCTTTTCTTAGAGTAGTTTGGAAACACTCTGTCTGTAAAGTCTGCAAGCAGATATTTGGACCTCTTTGAGGCCTTCGTTGGAAAAGGGATTTCTTCATATAACGCTAGAAAGAAGAATACTCAGTAACTTCTTTGTGTTGCCTCTATTCAACTCACAGAGTTGAACTGTCCTTTAGACAGAGCAGATGTGAAACCCTCTTTTTGTGATATTTGCAGGTGGAGATTTCAAGCGCTTTTAGGCCAAATGTAGAAAAGGAAATATCTTCGTATAAAAACTAGACAGAATCATTCTCAGAAACTACTTTGTGATGTGTGCGTTCAATTCACAGAGTATAACCTTTCTTTTGATGGAGGAGTTTGGAGACACTGTCTTTGTAAAGTCTGCAAGTGGATATTTGGACCTCTTTGAGGCCTTCGTTGGAAACGGGATTTCCTCATATAATGTTACACAGAAGAATTCTCAGTAACTTATTTGTGGTGTGTGTATTCAACTCACAGAGTTGAACCTTCCTTCAGAAAGAGCAGATTTGAAACACTCTTTTTGTGGAGTTTCCATGTGGAGATTTCAATCGCTTTGAGACCAAAGGTAGAAAAGGAAACATCTTCGTATAAAAACTAGACAGAATCATTCACAGAAACTGCTTTGTGATGTGTGTGTTCAGCTCACAGAGTTTAACCTTTCTTTTGATGGTGCAGTTTGGAAACACTCTGACAAGTCTGCAAGTGGATATTTGGACCTCTTTGAGGCCTTCGTTGGAAACGGGATTTCTTCATATAATGTTAGACAGAAGAAGTCTCAGTAACTTCTTTGTGCTGTGTGTATTCTACTCACAGAGCTGAACTTTACTTTAGACAGAGCAGATGTTAAACACACTTTTTGTGGAATTTGCAGCTGGAGATTTCTAGCGCTTTGAGGCCTATGGTAGAAAAGGAAACATCTTCTTATAAAATCTAGACAGCATCATTCACAGAAACTTCTTTTTGATGTGTGTGTCCATCTCACAGAGTTTAACCTTTCTTTTGATGGAGCAGTTTGCAAACACTGTGTTTGCCATGTCGGCAACTGGATATTTGGACCTCTTTGACGCCTTCGTTGGAAACGGGATTTCTTCATGTAATGTTCGAGAGAAGAATTCTCAGTAACTTATTTGTGGTGTGTGTATTCAACTCACAGAGTTGAACCTTCCTTTAGACAGAGCAGATTTGAAACACCCTATTTGTGCAGTTTCCAGTTGGAGATTTCAATCGCTTTGAGGCCAATCGTAGAAACGGAAATATCTTCGTATAAATACAAGACAGAATCATTCTCAGAAACTACTTTGTGATGTGTGCGTTCAACTCACGGAGTTTAAGCTTTCTTTTCATAGAGAAGTTTGGAAACACTCTGTCTGTAAAGTCTGCAAGCAGATATTTGGACCTCTTTGAGGCCTTCGTTGTTAAAGGGATTTCTTCATATAACGCTAGAAAGAAGAATACTCAGTAACTTCTTTGTGTTTCCTCTATTCAACTCACAGAGGTGAACTGTCCTTTAGACAGAGCAGATGTGAAACCCTCTTTTTGTGATATTTGCAGGTGGAGATTTCAAGCGCTTTTAGGCCAAATGTAGAAAAGGAAATATCTTCGTATAAAAACTAGACAGAATCATTCTCAGAAACTACTTTGTGATGTGTGCGTTCAATTCACAGAGTATAACCTTTCTTTTGATGGAGGAGTTTGGAGACACTGTCTTTGTAAAGTCTGCAAGTGGATATTTGGACCTCTTTGAGGCCTTCGTTGGAAACGGGATTTCTTCATGTAATATTCGAGAGAAGAATTCTCAGTAACTTATTTGTGGTGTGTGTATTCAACTCACAGAGTTGAACCTTCCTTTAGACAGAGCAGATTGAAACACTCTATTTGTGGAGTTTCCAGTTGGAGATTCAATCGCTCTGAGGCCAAAGGTAGAAACGGAAACATCTTCATATAAAAACAAGACAGAATCATTCTCAGAAACTACTTTGTGATGTGTGTGTTCAACTCACGGAGTTTAAGCTTTGTTTTGATAGAGCAGTTTGGAAACACTCTGTCTGTAAAGTCTGCAAGCAGATATTTGGACCTCTTTGAGGCCTTCGTTGGAAACGGGATTTCTTCATATAACGCTAGAAAGAAGAATACTGAGTAAGTTCTTTGTGTTGCCTCTATTCAACTCACAGAGGTGAACTGTCCTTTAGACAGAGCAGATGTGAAACCCTCTTTTTGTGATATTTGCAGGTGGAGATTTCAAGCGCTTTTAGGCCAAATGTAGAAAAGGAAATATCTTCGTATAAAAACTAGACAGAATCATTCTCAGAAACTACTTTGTGATGTGTGCGTTCAATTCACAGAGTATAACCTTTCTTTTGATGGAGGAGTTTGGAGACACTGTCTTTGTAAAGTCTGCAAGTGGATATTTGGACCTCTTTGAGGCCTTCGTTGGAAACGGGATTTCCTCATATAATGTTACACAGAAGAATTCTCAGTAACTTATTTGTGGTGTGTGTATTCAACTCACAGAGTTGAACCTTCCTTCAGAAAGAGCAGATTTGAAACACTCTTTTTGTGGAGTTTCCATGTGGAGATTTCAATCGCTTTGAGACCAAAGGTAGAAAAGGAAACATCTTCGTATAAAAACGAGACAGAATCATTCACAGAAACTACTTTGTGATGTGTGTGTTCAGCTCACAGAGTTTAACCTTTCTTTTGATGGTGCAGTTTGGAAACACTCTGTTTGACAAGTCTGCAAGTGGATATTTGGACCTCTTTGAGGCCTTCGTTGGAAACGGGATTTCTTCATATAATGTTAGACAGAAGAAGTCTCAGTAACTTCTTTGTGCTGTGTGTATTCAACTCACAGAGCTGAACTTTACTTTAGACAGAGCAGATGTTAAACACACTTTTTGTGGAATTTGCAGCTGGAGATTTCTAGCGCTTTGAGGCCTATGGTAGAAAAGGAAACATCTTCTTATAAAATCTAGACAGAATCATTCACAGAAACTTCTTTTTGATGTGTGTGTTTATCTCACAGAGTTTAACCTTTCTTTTGATGGAGCAGTTTGCAATCACTGTGTTTGCCATGTCGGCAAGTGGATATTTGGACCTCTTTGAGGCCTTCGTTGGAAACGGGATTTCTTCATGTAATGTTCGACAGAAGAATTCTCAGTAACTTATTTGTGGTGTGTGTATTCAGCTCACAGATTTGAACCTTCCTTTAGACAGAGCAGATTTGAAACACCCTATTTGTGCAGTTTCCAGTTGGAGATTTCAATCGCTTTGAGGCCAATCGTAGAAACGGAAATATCTTCGTATAAAAACAAGACAGAATCATTCTCAGAAACTACTTTGTGATGTGTGTGTTCAACTCACGGAGTTTAAGCTTTCTTTTCATAGAGTAGTTTGGAAACACTCTGTCTGTAAAGTCTGCAAGCAGATATTTGGACCTCTTTGAGGCCTTCATTGGAAACGGGGTTTCTTCATATAATGCTAGAAAGAAGAATACTGAGTAAGTTCTTTGTGTTGCCTCTATTCAACTCACAGAGGTGAACTGTCCTTTAGACGGAGCAGATGTGAAACCCTCTTTTTGTGATATTTGCTGGTGGAGATTTCAAGCGCTTTTAGGCCAAATGTAGAAAAGGAAATATCTTCGTATAAAAACTAGACAGAATCATTCTCAGAAACTACTTTGTGATGTGTGCGTTCAATTCACAGAGTATAACCTTTCTTTTCATGGAGGAGTTTGGAGACACTGTCTTTGTAAAGTCTGCAAGTGGATATTTGGACCTCTTGCAGGCCTTCGTTGGAAACGGGATTTCCTCATATAATGTTACACAGAAGAATTCTCAGTAACTTATTTGTGGTGTGTGTATTCAACTCACAGAGTTGAACCTTCCTTCAGAAAGAGCAGATTTGAAACACTCTTTTTGTGGAGTTTCCATGTGGAGATTTCAATCGCTTTGAGACCAAAGGTAGAAAAGGAAACATCTTCGTATAAAAACTAGACAGAATCATTCACAGAAACTACTTTGTGATGTGTGTGTTCAACTCACAGAGTTTAACCTTTCTTTTGATGCAGTAGTTTGGAAACACTCTGTTTGTCACGTCTGCAAGTGGATATTTGGACCTCTTTGAGGCCTTCGTTGGAAAAGGGATTTCTTCATATAATGTTAGACAGAAGAAGTCTCAGTAACTTCTTTGTGCTGTGTGTATTCAACTCACAGAGCTGAACTTTACTTTAGACAGAGCGGATGTTAAACACACTTTTTGTGGAATTTGCAGCTGGAGATTTCTAGCGCTTTGAGGCCTATGGTAGAAAAGGAAACATCTTCTTATAAAATCCAGACAGAGTCATTCACAGAAACTTCTTTTTGATGTGTGTGTTCATCTCACAGTGTTTAACCTTTCTTTTGACGGAGCAGTTTGGAAAAACTGTGTTTGCATTGTCGGCAACTGGATATTTGGACCTCTTTGAGGCCTTCGTTGGAAACGGGATTTCTTCATGTAATGTTCGAGAGAAGAATTCTCAGTAACTTATTTGTGGTGTGTGTATTCAACTCACAGAGTTGAACCTTCCTTTAGACAGAGCAGATTTGAAACACCCTATTTGTGCAGTTTCCACTTGGAGATTTCAATCGCTTTGAGGCCAATCGTAGAAACGGAAATATCTTCGTATAAAAACAAGACAGAATCATTCTCAGAAACTACTTTGTGATGTGTGCGTTCAACTCACGGAGTTTAAGCTTTCTTTTCATAGAGTAGTTTGGAAACACTCTGTCTGTAAAGTCTGCAAGCAGATATTTGGACCTCTTTGAGGCCTTCGTTGGAAACGGGATTTCGTCATATAACGCTAGAAAGAAGATACTGAGTAAGTTCTTTGTGTTGCCTCTATTCAACTCACAGAGGTGAACTGT
>NC_000012.12:36779939-36797645 GCF_000001405.40 Homo sapiens | reverse complement strand
ACAAAAAATTAGCCGGGCATGGTGGCTGGCACCCGTAGTCCCAGCTACTCGGGACGTTTAGACAGGAGAATCGCTTGAACCTGGGAGGCAGAGGTTACAGTGCGCAGAGATCCCACCCCTGCACTCCAGCCTGGGTGACAGAGCAAGACTGTCTCAAAAACAAAACAATCTGTCTAGTTTTTATACGAAGATGTTTCCTTTTCTACATTTGGTCTCAAAGCGATTGAAATCTCCAACTGGAAACTGCACAAATAGGGTGTTTCAAATCTGCTCTGTCTAAAGGAAGGTTCAACTCTGTGAGTTGAATACACACACCACAAATAAGTTACTGAGAATCCTTCTGTCGAACATTACTTGAAGAAATCCCGTTTCCAACGAAGGCCTCAAAGAGGTCCAAATATCCACTTGCAGACATTAGAAACAGAGCGTTTCCAAACTGCTCCATCAAAAGAAAGGTTAAACTCTGTGAGCTGAACACACACATCAAAAAGAAGTTTCTGTGAATGATTCTGTCTAGATTTTATAAGAAGATGTTTCCTTTTCTACCGTAGGCCTCAAAGCGCTTGAAATCTCCAGGTGCAAATTCCACAAAAAGGGTGTTTAACATCTGCTCTTCTAAAGGAAAGTTCAACTGTATGAGTTGAATACACACAGCACAAAGAAGTTACTGAGACTTCTCCTATAAAACATTATATGAAGAAATCCCGTTTCCAACGAAGGCCTCAAAGAGGTCCAAATATCTGCTTGCAGACTTCACAAAGACAGTGTCTCCAAACTCCTCCATCAAAAGAAAGGTTATACTCTGTGAATTGAATGCACACATCACAAAGTAGTTTCTGAGAATGATTCTGTCTAGTTTTTATACGAAGATGTTTCCTTTTCTACCTTTGGTCTCAAAGCGATTGAAATCTCCACATGGAAACTCCACAAAAACAGTGTTTCAAATGTGCTCTTTGTGAAGGAAGGTTCAACTCTTTGAGTTGAATACACACACCACAAATCAGTTACTGAGAATTCTTCTGTGTAACATTATATGAGGAAATCCCGTTTCCAACGAAGGCCTCAAAGAGGTCCAAATATCCACTTGCAGACTTTACAAAGACAGTGTCTCCAAACTCCTCCATCAAAAGAAAGGTTCTACTCTGTGAATTGAACGCACACATCACAAAGTAGTTTCTGAGAATGATTCTGTCTAGTTTTTATACGAAGATATTTCCTTTTCTACATTTGGCCTAAAAGCGCTTGCAATCTCCACCTGCAAATATCACAAAAAGAGGGTTTCACATCTGCTCTGTCTAAAGGACAGTTCACCTCTGTGAGTTGAATAGAGGCAACACAAAGAACTTACTCAGTATTCTTCTTTCTAGCATTCTATGAAGAAAACCCGTTTCCAACGAAGGCCCCAAAGAGGTCCAAATATCTGCTTGCAGACTTTACAGACAGAGTGTTTCCAAACTACTCTATGAAAAGAAAGCTTAAACTCCTTGAGTTGAACGCACACATCACAAAGTAGTTTCGGAGAATGATTCTGTCTAGTTTTTATACGAAGATGTTTCCTTTTCTACATTTGGTCTCAAAGCGATTGAAATCTCCAACTGGAAACTGCACAAATAGGGTGTTTCAAATCTGCTCTGTCTAAAGGAAGGTTCAACTCTGTGAGTTGAATACACACACCACAAATAAGTTACTGAGAATTCTTCTCCCGAACATTACTTGAAGAAATCCCGTTTCCAACGAAGGCCTCAAAGAGGTCCAAATATCCACTTGCAGACATTACAAACAGAGTGTTTCCAAACTGCTCCATCAAAAGAAAGGTTAAACTCTGTGAGCTGAACACACACATCAAAAAGAAGTTTCTGTGAATGATTCTGTCTAGATTTTATAAGAAGATGTTTCCTTTTCTACCGTAGGCCTCAAAGCGCTTGAAATCTCCAGCTGCAAATTCCACAAAAAGGGTGTTTAACATCTGCTCTTCTAAAGGAAAGTTCAACTCTATGAGTTGAATACACACAGCACAAAGAAGTTACTGAGACTTCTCCTATCAAACATTATATGAAGAAATCCCGTTTCCAACGAAGGCCTCAAAGAGGTCCAAATATCTGCTTGCAGACTTTACAGACAGAGTGTTTCCAAACTGCTCCATCAAAAGAAAGGTGAAACTCCTTGAGTTGAACACACACATCACAAAGTAGTTTCTGTGAATGATTCTGTCTAGTTTTTATACGAAGATGTTTCCTTTTCTACCTTTGGTCTCAATGCGATTGAAATCTCCACATGGAAACTCCACAAAAAGAGTGTTTCAAATCTGCTCTTTCTGAAGGAAGGTTCAACTCTGTGAGTTGAATACACACACCACAAATAAGTTACTGAGAATTCTTCTGTGTAACATTATATGAGGAAATCCCGTTTCCAACGAAGGCCTCAAAGAGGTCCAAATATCCACTTGCAGACTTTACAAAGACAGTGTCTCCAAACTCCGCCATCAAAAGAAAGGTTATACTCTGTGAATTGAACGCACACATCACAAAGTAGTTTCTGAGAATGATTCTGTCTAGTTTTTATACGAAGATATTTCCTTTTCTACATTTGGCCTAAAAGCGCTTGAAATCTCCACCTGCAAATATCACAAAAAGAGGGTTTCACATCTGCTCTGTCTAAAGGACAGTTCACCTCTGCGAGTTGAATAGAGGCAACACAAAGAACTTACTCAGTATTCTTCTTTCTAGCGTTCTATGAAGAAATCCCGTTTCCAACGAAGGCCCTAAAGAGGTCCAAATATCTGCTTGCAGACTTTACAGACAGAGTGTTTCCAAACTACTCTATGAAAAGAAAGCTTAAACTCCTTGAGTTGAACGCACACATCACAAAGTAGTTTCTGAGAATGATTCTGTCTAGTTTTTATACGAAGATGTTTCCTTTTCTACATTTGGTCTCAAAGCGATTGAACTCTCCAACTGGAAACTGCACAAATAGGGTGTTTCAAATCTGCTCTGTCTAAAGGAAGGTTCAACTCTGTGAGTTGAATACACACACCACAAATAAGTTACTGAGAATTCTTCTGTCGAACATTACATGAAGAAATCCCGTTTCCAACGAAGGCCTCAAAGAGGTCCAAATATCCACTTGCAGACATTACAAACAGAGTGTTTCCAAACTGCTCCATCAAAAGAAAGGTTAAACTCTGTGAGCTGAACACACACATCAAAAAGAAGTTTCTGTGAATGATTCTGTCTAGATTTTATAAGAAGATGTTTCCTTTTCTACCGTAGGCCTCAAAGCGCTTGAAATCTCCAGCTGCAAATTCCACAAAAAGGGTGTTTAACATCTGCTCTTCTAAAGGAAAGTTCAACTCTATGAGTTGAATACACACAGCACAAAGAAGTTACTGAGACTTCTCCTATCAAACATTATATGAAGAAATCCCGTTTCCAACGAAGGCCTCAAAGAGGTCCAAATATCTGCTTGCAGACTTTACAGACAGAGTTTTTCCAAACTGCTCCATCAAAAGAAAGGTTAAACTCCTTGAGTTGAACACACACATCACAAAGTAGTTTCTGTGAATGATTCTGTCTAGTTTTTATACGAAGATGTTTCCTTTTCTACCTTTGGTCTCAAAGCGATTGAAATCTCCACATGGAAACTCCACAAAAAGAGTGTTTCAAATCTGCTCTTTCTGAAGGAAGGTTCAACTCTGTAGGTTGAATACACACACCACAAATAAGTTGCTGAGAATTCTTCTGTGTAACATTATATGAGGAAATCCCGTTTCCAACGAAGGCCTCAAAGAGGTCCAAATATTCACATGCAGACTTTACAAAGACAGTGTCTCCAAACTCCTCCATCAAAAGAAAGGTTATACTCTGTGAATTGAACGCACACATCACAAAGTAGTTTCTGAGAATGATTCTGTCTAGTTTTTATACGAAGATATTTCCTTTTCTACATTTGGCCTAAAAGCGCTTGAAATCTCCACCAGCAAATATCAAAAAAAGAGGGTTTCACATCTGCTCTGTCTAAAGGACAGTTCACCTCTGTGAGTTGAATAGAGGCAACACAAAGAACTTACTCAGTATTCTTCTTTCTAGCGTTCTATGAAGAAATCCCGTTTCCAACGAAGGCCTCAAAGAGGTCCAAATATCTGCTTGCAGACTTTACAGACAGAGTGTTTCCAAACTACTCTATGAAAAGAAAGCTTAAACTCCTTGAGTTGAACGCACACATCACAAAGTAGTTTCTGAGAATGATTGTGTCTAGTTTTTATACGAAGATGTTTCCTTTTCTACATTTGGTCTCAAAGCGATTGAAATCTCCAAGTGCAAACTGCACAAATAGGTTGTTTCAAATCTGCTCTGTCTAAAGGAAGGCTCAACTCTGTGAGTTGAATACACACACCACAAATAAGTTACTGAGAATTCTTCTGTCGAACATTACATGAAGAAATACGGTTTCCAAAGAAGGCCTCAAAGAGGTCCAAATATCCACTTGCAGACATTACAAACAGAGTGTTTCCAAACTGCTCCATCAAAAGAAAGGTTAAACTCTGTGAGCTGAACACACACATCAAAAAGAAGTTTCTGTGAATGATTCTGTCTAGATTTTATAAGAAGATGTTTCCTTTTCTACCGTAGGCCTCAAAGCGCTAGAAATCTCCACCTGCAAATTCCAAAAAAAGTGTGTTTAACATCTGCTCTGTCTAAAGTAAAGTTCAGCTCTGTGAGTTGAATACACACAGCACAAAGAAGTTACTGAGACTTCTTCTGTCTAACATTATATGAAGAAATCCCGTTTCCAACGAAGGCCTCAAAGAGGTCCAAATATCCACTTGCAGACTTGTCAAACAGAGTGTTTCCAAACTGCACCATCAAAAGAAAGGTTAAACTCTGTGAGCTGAACACACACATCACAAAGTAGTTTCTGTGAATGATTCTGTCCAGTTTTTATACGAAGATGTTTCCTTTTCTACCTTTGGTCTCAAAGCGATTGAAATCTCCACATGGAAACTCCACAAAAAGAGTGTTTCAAATCTGCTCTTTCTGAAGGAAGGTTCAACTCTGTGAGTTGAATACACACACCACAAATAAGTTACTGAGAATTCTTCTGTGTAACATTATATGAGGAAATCCCGTTTCCAACGAAGGCCTCAAAGAGGTCCAAATATCCACTTGCAGACTTTACAAAGACAGTGTCTCCAAACTCCTCCATCAAAAGAAAGGTTATACTCTGTGAATTGAACGCACACATCACAAAGTAGTTTCTGAGAATGATTCTGTCTAGTTTTTATACGAAGATATTTCCTTTTCTACATTTGGCCTAAAAGCGCTTGAAATCTCCACCTGCAAATATCACAAAAAGAGGGTTTCACATCTGCTCTGTCTAAAGGACAGTTCACCTCTGTGAGTTGAATAGAGGCAACACAAAGAACTTACTCAGTATTCTTCTTTCTAGCGTTCTATGAAGAAATCCCGTTTCCAACGAAGGCCTCAAAGAGGTCCAAATATCTGCTTGCAGACTTTACAGACAGAGTGTTTCCAAACTACTCTATGAAAAGAAAGCTTAAACTCCTTGAGTTAAACGCACACATCACAAAGTAGTTTGCTGAGAATGATTCTGTCTAGTTTTTATACGAAGATGTTTCCTTTTCTACATTTGGTCTCAAAGCGATTGAAATCTCCAACTGGAAACTGCACAAATAGGGTGTTTCAAATCTGCTCTGTCTAAAGGAAGGTTCAACTCTGTGAGTTGAATACACACACCACAAATAAGTTACTGAGAATTCTTCTGTCGAACATTACATGAAGAGATCCCGTTTCCAACGACGGCCTCAAAGAGGTCAAAATATCCACTAGCAGACATTACAAACAGAGTGTTTCCAAACTGCTCCATCAAAAGAAAGGTTAAACTCTATGAGCTGAACACACACATCAAAAAGAAGTTTCTGTGAATGATTCTGTCTAGATTTTATAAGAAGATGTTTCCTTTTCTACCGTAGGCCTCAAAGCGCTTGAAATCTCCAGCTGCAAATTCCACAAAAAGGGTGTTTAACATCTGCTCTTCTAAAGGAAAGTTCAACTCTATGAGTTGAATACACACAGCACAAAGAAGTTACTGAGACTTCTCCTATCAAACATTATATGAAGAAATCCCGTTTCCAACGAAGGCCTCAAAGAGGTCCAAATATCTGCTTGCAGACTTTACAGACAGAGTGTTTCCAAACTGCTCCATCAAAAGAAAGGTTAAACTCCTTGAGTTGAACACACCCATCACAAAGTAGTTTCTGTGAATGATTCTGTCTAGTTTTTATACGAAGATGTTTCCTTTTCTACCTTTGGTCTCAAAGCGATTGAAATCTCCACATGGAAACTCCACAAAAAGAGTGTTTCAAATCTGCTCTTTCTGAAGGAAGGTTCATCTCTGTGAGTTGAATACACACACCACAAATAAGTTACTGAGAATTCTTCTGTGTAACATTATATGAGGAAATCCCGTTTCCAACGAAGGCCTCAAAGAGGTCCAAATATCCACTTGCAGACTTTACAAAGACAGTGTCTCCAAACTCCTCCATCAAAAGAAAGGTTATACTCTGTGAATTGAACGCACACATCACAAAGTAGTTTCTGAGAATGATTCTGTCTAGTTTTTATACGAAGATATTTCCTTTTCTACATTTGGCCTAAAAGCGCTTGAAATCTCCACCTGCAAATATCACAAAAAGAGGGTTTCACATCTGCTCTGTCTAAAGGACAGTTCACCTCTGTGAGTTGAATAGAGGCAACACAAAGAACTTACTCAGTATTCTTCTTTCTAGCGTTCTATGAAGAAATCCCGTTTCCAACGAAGGCCCCAAAGAGGTCCAAATATCTGCTTGCAGACTTTACAGACAGAGTGTTTCCAAACTACTCTATGAAAAGAAAGCTTAAACTCCTTGAGTTGAACGCACACATCACAAAGTAGTTTCTGAGAATGATTCTGTCTAGTTTTTATACGAAGATGTTTCCTTTTCTACATTTGGTCTCAAAGCGATTGAAATCTCCAACTGGAAACTGCACAAATAGGCTGTTTCAAATCTGCTCTGTCTAAAGGAAGGTTCAACTCTGTGAGTTGAATACACACACCACAAATAAGTTACTGAGAATTCTTCTGTCGAACATTACATGAAGAAATCCCGTTCCCAACGAAGGCCTCAAAGAGGTCCAAATATCCACTTGCAGACATTACAAACAGAGTGTTTCCAAACTGCTCCATCAAAAGAAAGGTTAAACTACTGTGAGCTGAACACACACATCAAAAAGAAGTTTCTGTGAATGATTCTGTCTAGATTTTATAAGAAGATGTTTCCTTTTCTACCGTAGGCCTCAAAGCGCTTGAAATCTCCAGCTGCAAATTCCACAAAAAGGGTGTTTAACATCTGCTCTTCTAAAGGAAAGTTCAACTCTATGCGTTGAATACACACATCACAAAGAAGTTACTGAGACTTCTCCAATCAAACATTATATGAAGAAATCCCGTTTCCAACGAAGGCCTCAAAGAGGTCCAAATATCTGCTTGCAGACTTTACAGACAGAGTGTTTCCAAACTGCTCCATCAAAAGAAAGGTTAAACTCCTTGAGTTGAACACACACATCACAAAGTAGTTTCTGTGAATGATTCTGTCCAGTTTTTATACGAAGATGTTTCCTTTTCTACCTTTGGTCTCAAAGCGATTGAAATCTCCACATGGAAACTCCACAAAAAGAGTGTTTCAAATCTGCTCTTTCTGAAGGAAGGTTCAACTCTGTGAGTTGAATACACACACCACAAATAAGTTACTGAGAATTCTTCTGTGTAACATTATATGAGGAAATCCCGTTTCCAACGAAGGCCTCAAAGAGGTCCAAATATCCACTTGCAGACTTTACAAAGACAGTGTCTCCAAACTCCTCCATCAAAAGAAAGGTTATACTCTGTGAATTGAACGCACACATCACAAAGTAGTTTCTGAGAATGATTCTGTCTAGTTTTTATACGAAGATATTTCCTTTTCTACATTTGGCCTAAAAGCGCTTGAAATCTCCACCTGCAAATATCACAAAAAGAGGGTTTCACATCTGCTCTGTCTAAAGGACAGTTCACCTCTGTGAGTTGAGTAGAGGCAACACAAAGAACTTACTCAGTATTCTTCTTTCTAGCGTTCTATGAAGAAATCCCGTTTCCAACGAAGGCCTCAAAGAGGTCCAAATATCTGCTTGCAGACATTACAGACAGAGTGTTTCCAAACTACTCTATGAAAAGAAAGCTTAAACTCCTTGAGTTGAACGCACACATCACAAAGTAGTTTCTGAGAATGATTCTGTCTAGTTTTTATACGAAGATGTTTCCTTTTCTACATTTGGTCTCAAAGCGATTGAAATCTCCAAATGGAAACTGCACAAATAGGGTGTTTCTAATCTGCTCTGTCTAAAGGAAGGTTCAACTCTGTGAGTTGAATACACACACCACAAATAAGTTACTGAGAATTCTTCTGTCGAACATTACATGAAGAAATCCCGTTTCCAACGAAGGCCTCAAAGAGGTCCAAATATCCACTTGCAGACATTACAAACAGAGTGTTTCCAAACTGCTCCATCAAAAGAAAGGTTAAACTCTGTGAGCTGAACACACACATCAAAAAGAAGTTTCTGTGAATGATTCTGTCTAGATTTTATAAGAAGATGTTTCCTTTTCTACCGTAGGCCTCAAAGTGCTTGAAATCTCCAGCTGCAAATTCCACAAAAAGGGTCATTAACATCTGCTCTTCTAAAGGAAAGTTCAACTCTATGAGTTGAATACACACAGCACAAAGAAGTTACTGAGACTTCTCCTATCAAACATTATATGAAGAAATCCCGTTTCCAACGAAGGCCTCAAAGAGGTCCAAATATCTGCTTGCAGACTTTACAGACAGAGTGTTTCCAAACTGCTCCATCAAAAGAAAGGTTAAACTCCTTGAGTTGAACACACACATCACAAAGTAGTTTCTGTGAATGATTCTGTCTAGTTGTTATACGAAGATGTTTCCTTTTCTACCTTTGGTCTCAAAGCGATTGAAATCTCCACATGGAAACTCCACAAAAAGAGTGTTTCAAATCTGCTCTTTCTGAAGGAAGGTTCATCTCTGTGAGTTGAATACACACACCACAAATAAGTTACTGAGAATTCTTCTGTGTAACATTATATGAGGAAATCCCGTTTCCAACGAAGGCCTCAAAGAGGTCCAAATATCCACTTGCAGACTTTACAAAGACAGTGTCTCCAAACTCCTCCATCAAAAGAAAGGTTATACTCTGTGAATTGAACGCACACACCACAAAGTAGTTTCTGAGAATGATTCTGTCTAGTTTTTATACGAAGATATTTCCTTTTCTACATTTGGCCTAAAAGCGCTTGAAATCTCCACCTGCAAATATCACAAAAAGAGGGTTTCACATCTGCTCTGTCTAAAGGACAGTTCACCTCTGTGAGTTGAATAGAGGCAACACAAAGAACTTACTCAGTATTCTTCTTTCTAGCGTTCTATGAAGAAATCCCGTTTCCAACGAAGGCCTCAAAGAGGTCCAAATATCTGCTTGCAGACTTTACAGACAGAGTGTTTCCAAACTACTCTATGAAAAGAAAGCTTAAACTCCTTGAGTTGAACGCACACATCACAAAGTAGTTTCTGAGAATGATTCTGTCTTGTTTTTATACGAAGATATTTCCGTTTCTATGATTGGCCTCAAAGCGATTGAAATCTCCAACTGGAAAATGCACAAATAGGGTGTTTCAAATCTGCTCTGTCTAAAGGAAGGTTCAACTCTGTGAGTTGAATACACACACCACAAATAAGTTACTGAGAATTCTTCTGTCGACCATTACATGAAGAAATCCCGTTTCCAACGAAGGCCTCAAAGAGGTCCAAATATCCCCTTGCAGACATTACAAACAGAGTGTTTCCAAACTGCTCCATCAAAAGAAAGGTCAAACTCTGTGAGCTGAACACACACATCAAAAAGAAGTTTCTGTGAATGATTCTGTCTAGATTTTATAAGAAGATGTTTCCTTTTCTACCGTAGGCCTCAAAGCGCTTGAAATCTCCAGCTGCAAATTCCACAAAAAGGGTGTTTAACATCTGCTCTTCTAAAGGAAAGTTCAACTCTATGAGTTGAATACACACAGCACAAAGAAGTTACTGAGACTTCCCTATCAAACATTATATGAAGAAATCCCGTTTTCAACGAAGGCCTCAAAGAGGTCCAAATATCTGCTTGCAGACTTTACAGACAGAGTGTTTCCAAACTGCTCCATCAAAAGAAAGGTTAAACTCCTTGAGTTGAACACACACATCACAAAGTAGTTTACTGTGAATGATTCTGTCTAGTTTTTATACGAAGATGTTTCCTTTTCTACCTTTGGTCTCAATGCGATTGAAATCTCCACATGGAAACTCCACAAAAAGAGTGTTTCAAATCTGCTCTTTCTGAAGGAAGGTTCATCTCTGTGAGTTGAATACACACACCAAAAATAAGTTACTGAGAATTCTTCTGTGTAACATTATATGAGGAAATCCCGTTTCCAACGAAGGCCTCAAAGAGGTCCAAATATCCACTTGCAGACTTTACAAAGACAGTGTCTCCAAACTCCTCCATCAAAAGAAAGGTTATACTCTGTGAATTGAACGCACACGTCACAAAGTAGTTTCTGAGAATGATTCTGTCTAGTTTTTATACGAAGATATTTCCTTTTCTACATTTGGCCTAAGAGCGCTTGAAATCTCCACCTGCAAATATCACAAAAAGAGGGTTTCACATCTGCTCTGTCTAAAGGACAGTTCACCTCTGTGAGTTGAATAGAGGCAACACAAAGAACTTACTCAGTATTCTTCTTTCTAGCGTTCTATGAAGAAATCCCGTTTCCAACGAAGGCCCCAAAGAGGTCCAAATATCTGCTTGCAGACTTTACAGACAGAGTGTTTCCAAACTACTCTATGAAAAGAAAGCTTAAACTCCTTGAGTTGAACGCACACATCACAAAGTAGTTTCTGAGAATGATTCTGTCTAGTTTTTATACGAAGATGTTTCCTTTTCTACATTTGTCTCAAAGCGATTGAAATCTCCAACTGGAAACTGCACAAATAGGCTGTTTCAAATCTGCTCTGTCTAAAGGACAGTTCACCTCTGTGAGTTCAATAGAGGCAACAAAAAGAACTTACTCAGTATTCTTCTGTCGAACATTACTTGAAGAAATCCCGTTTCCAACGAAGGCCTCAAAGAGGTCCAAATATCCACTTGCAGACATTACAAACAGAGTGTTTCCAAACTGCTCCATCAAAAGAAAGGTTAAACTCTGTGAGCTAAACACACACATCGAAAAGAAGTTTCTGTGAATGATTCTGTCTAGATTTTATAAGAAGATGTTTCCTTTTCTACAGTAGGCCTCAAAGCGCTTGAAATCTCCAGCTGCAAATTCCACAAAAAGGGTGTTTAACATCTACTCTTCTAAAGGAAATTTCAACTCTATGAGTTGAATGCACACAGCACAAAGAAGTTACTGAGACTTCTCCTATAAAACATTATATGAAGAAATCCCGTTTCCAACGAAGGCCTCAAAGAGGTCCAAATATCTGCTTGCAGACTTTACAGACAGAGTTTTTCCAAACTGCTCTATCAAAAGAAAGGTTAAACTCCTTGAGTTGACCACACACATCACAAATTAGTTTCTTTGAATGATTCTGTCTAGTTGTTATACGAAGATGTTTCCTTTTCTACCTTTGGTCTCAAAGCGATTGAAATCTCCACATGGAGACTCCACAAAAAGAGTGTTTCAAATCTGCTCTTTCTGAAGGAAGGTTCATCTCTGTGAGTTGAATACACACACCACAAATAAGTTACTGAGAATTCTTCTGTGTAACATTATATGAGGAAATCCCGTTTCCAACGAAGGCCTCAAAGAGGTCCAAATATCCACTTGCAGACTTTACAAAGACAGTGTCTCCAAACTCCTCCATCAAAAGAAAGGTTATACTCTGTGAATTGAACGCACACATCACAAAGTAGTTTCTGAGAATGATTCTGTCTAGTTTTTATACGAAGATGTTTCCTTTTCTACATTTGGCCTAAAAGTGCTTGAAATCTCCACCTGCAAATATCACAAAAAGAGGGTTTCACATCTGCTCTGTCTAAAGGACAGTTCACCTCTGTGAGTTGAATAGAGGCAACACAAAGAACTTACTCAGTATTCTTCTTTCTAGCGTTCTATGAAGAAATCCCGTTTCCAACGAAGGCCTCAAAGAGGTCCAAATATCTGCTTGCAGACTTTACAGACAGAGTGTTTCCAAACTACTCTATGAAAAGAAAGCTTAAACTCCTTGAGTTGAACGCACACATCACAAAGTAGTTTCTGAGAATGATTCTGTCTAGTTTTTATACGAAGATGTTTCCTTTTCTACATTTGGTCTCAAAGCGATTGAAATCTCCAACTGGAAATTGCACAAATAGGGTGTTTCAAATCTGCTCTGTCTAAAGGAAGGTTCAACTCTGTGAGTTGAATACACACACCACAAATAAGTTACTGAGAATTCTTCTGTCGAACATTACTTGAAGAAATCCCGTTTCCAACGAAGGCCTCAAAGAGGTCCAAATATCCACTTGCAGACATTACAAACAGAGTGTTTCCAAACTGCTCCATCAAAAGAAAGGTTAAACTCTGTGAGCTGAACACACACATCAAAAAGAAGTTTCTGTGAATGATTCTGTCTAGATTTTATAAGAAGATGTTTCCTTTTCTACCGTAGGCCTCAAAGCGCTTGAAATCTCCAGCTGCAAATTCCACAAAAAGGGTGTTTAACATCTGCTCTTCTAAAGGAAAGTTCAACTCTATGAGTTGAATACACACAGCACAAAGAAGTTACTGAGACTTCTCCTATCAAACATTATATGAAGAAATCCCGTTTCCAAAGAAGGCCTCAAAGAGGTCCAAATATCTGCTTGCAGACTTTACAGACAGAGTGTTTCCAAACTGCTCCATCAAAAGAAAGGTTAACCTCCTTGAGTTGAACACACACATCACAAAGTAGTTTCTGTGAATGATTCTGTCTAGTTTTTATACGAAGATGTTTCCTTTTCTACCTTTGGTCTCAATGCGATTGAAATCTCCACATGGAAACTCCACAAAAAGAGTGTTTCAAATCTGCTCTTTCAGAAGGAAGGTTCAACTCTGTGAGTTGAATACACACACCACAAATAAGTTACTGAGAATTCTTCTGTGTAACATTATATGAGGAAATCCCGTTTCCAACGAAGGCCACAAAGAGATCCAAATATCCACTTGCAGACTTTACAAAGACAGTGTCTCCAAACTCCTCCATCAAAAGAAAGGTTATACTCCGTGAATTGAACGCACACATCACAAAGTAGTTTCTGAGAATGATTCTGTCTAGTTTTTATACGAAGATATTTCCTTTTCTACATTTGGCCTAAAAGTGCTTGAAATCTCCACCTGCAAATATCACAAAAAGAGGGTTTCACATCTGCTCTGTCTAAAGGACAGTTCACCTCTGTGAGTTGAATAGAGGCAACACAAAGAACTTACTCAGTATTCTTCTTTCTAGCGTTCTATGAAGAAATCCCGTTTCCAACGAAGGCCTCAAAGAGGTCAAAGATCTGCTTGCAGACTTTACAGACAGAGTGTTTCCAAACTACTCTATGAAAAGAAAGCGTAAACTCCTTGAGTTGAACGCACACATCACAAAGTAGTTTCTGAGAATGATTCTGTCTAGTTTTTATACGAAGATGTTTCCTTTTCTACATTTGGTCTCAAAGCGATTGAAATCTCCAACTGGAAACTGCACAAATAGGGTGTTTCAAATCTGCTCTGTCTAAAGGAAGGTTCAACTCTTTGAGTTGAATACACACACCACAAATAAGTTACTGAGAATTCTTCTGTCGAACATTACTTGAAGAAATCCCGTTTCCAACGAAGGCCTCAAAGAGGTCCAAATATCCACTTGCAGACATTACAAACAGAGTGTTTCCAAACTGCTCCATCAAAAGAAAGGTTAAACTCTGTGAGCTGAACACACACATCAAAAAGAAGTTTCTGTGAATGATTCTGTCTAGATTTTATAAGAAGATGTTTCCTTTTCTACCGTAGGCCTCAAAGCGCTTGAAATCTCCAGCTGCAAATTCCACAAAAAGGGTGTTTAACATCTGCTCTTCTAAAGGAAAGTTCAACTCTATGCGTTGAATACACACCGCACAAAGAAGTTACTGAGACTTCTCCTATCAAACATTATATGAAGAAATCCCGTTTCCAACGAAGGCCTCAAAGAGGTCCAAATATCTGCTTGCAGACATTACAGACAGAGTGTTTCCAAACTGCTCCATCAAAAGAAAGGTTAAACTCCTTGAGTTGAACACACACATCACAAAGTAGTTTCTGTGAATGATTCTGTCTAGTTTTTATACGAAGATGTTTCCTTTTCTACCTTTGGTCTCAAAGCGATTGAAATCTCCACATGGAAACTCCACAAAAAGAGTGTTTCAAATCTGCTCTTTCCGAAGGAAGGTTCAACTCTGTGAGTTGAATACACACACCACAAATAAGTTACTGAGAATTCTTCTGTGTAACATTATATGAGGAAATCCCGTTTCCAACGAAGGCCTCAAAGAGATCCAAATATCCACTTGCAGACTTTACAAAGACAGTGTCTCCAAACTCCTCCATCAAAAGAAAGGTTATCCTCTGTGAATTGAACGCACACATCACAAAGTAGTTTCTGAGAATGATTCTGTCTAGTTTTTATACGAAGATGTTTCCTTTTCTACATTTGACCTAAAAGTGCTTGAAATCTCCACCTGCAAATATCACAAAAAGAGGGTTTCACATCTGCTCTGTCTAAAGGACAGTTCACCTCTGTGAGTTGAATAGAGGCAACAAAAAGAACTTACTCAGTATTCTTCTTTCTAGCGTTACATGAAGAAATCCCGTTTCCAACGAAGGCCTCAAAGAGGTCCAAATATCTGCTTGCAGACTTTACAGACAGAGTGTTTCCAAACTACTCTATGAAAAGAAAGCTTAAACTCCTTGAGTTGAACGCACACATCACAAAGTAGTTTCTGAGAATGATTCTGTCTTGTTTTTATACGAAGATATTTCCGTTTATATGATTGGCCTCCAAGCGATTGAAATCTCCAACTGGAAACTGCACAAATAGGGTGTTTCAAATCTGCTCTGTCTAAAGGAAGGTTCAACTCTGTGAGTTGAATACACACACCACAAATAACTTACTGAGAATTCTTCTGTCGAACATTACATGAAGAGGTCCCGTTTCCAACGACGGCCTCAAAGAGGCCCAAATATCCACTTGCATACATTACAAAGAGAGTGTTTCCAAACTGCTCCATCAAAAGAAAGGTTAAACTCTGTGAGCTGAACACACACATCAAAAAGAAGTTTCTGTGAATGATTCTGTCTATTCTTTAGAAGAAGATGTTTCCTTCTCTACCGTAGGCCTCAAAGCGCTTGAAATCTCCAGCTGCAAATTCCACAAAAAGGGTGTTTAACATCTGCTCTTCTAAAGGAAAGTTCAACTCCATGAGTTGAATACACACAGCACGAAGAAGTTACTGAGACTTCTCCTATCAAACATTATATGAAGAAATCCCGTTTCCAACGAAGGCCTCAAAGAGGTCCAAATATCTGCTTGCAGACTTTACAGACAGAGTGTTTCCAAACTGCTCCATCAAAAGAAAGGTTAACCTCCTTGAGTTGAACACACACATCACAAAGTAGTTTCTGTGAATGATTCTGTCTAGTTTTTATACGAAGATGTTTCCTTTTCTACCTTTGGTCTCAAAGCGATTGAAATCTCCACATGGAAACTCCACAAAAAGAGTGTTTCAAATGTGCTCTTTCTGAAGGAAGGTTCAACTCTGTGAGTTGAATACACACACCACAAATCAGTTACTGAGAATTCTTCTGTGTAACATTATATGAGGAAATCCCGTTTCCAACGAAGGCCTCAAAGAGGTCCAAATGTCCACTTGCAGACTTTACAAAGACAGTGTCTCCAAACTCCTCCATCAAAAGAAAGGTTATTCTCTGTGAATTGAGCACACATCACAAAGTAGTTTCTGAGAATGATTCTGTCTAGTTTTTATACGAAGATATTTCCTTTTCTACATTTGGCCAAAAAGAGCTTGAAATCTCCACCTGCAAATATCACAAAAAGAGGGTTTCACATCTGCTGTGTCTAAAGGACAGTTCACCTCTGTGAGTTGAATAGAGGCAACACAAAGAAGTTACTGAGTATTCTTCTTTCTAGCGTTCTATGAAGAAATCCCGTTTCCAACGAAGGCCCCAAAGAGGTCCAAATATCTGCTTGCAGACTTTACAGACAGAGTGTCTCCAAACTACTCTATGAAAAGAAAGCTTAAATTCCTTGAGTTGAATGCACACATCACAAAGTAGTTTCTGAGAATGATTCTGTCTAGTTTTTATACGAAGATGTTTCCTTTTCTACATTTGGTCTCAAAGCTCTTGAAATCTCCAACTGGAAACTGCACAAATAGGCTGTTTCAAATCTGCTCTGTCTAAAGGAAGGTTCAACTCTGTGAGTTGAATACACACACCACAAATAAGTTACTGAGAATTCTTCTGTCGAACATTACTTGAAGAAATCCCGTTTCCAACGAAGGCCTCAAAGAGGTCCAAATATCCACTTGCAGACATTACAAACAGAGTGTTTCCAAACTGCTCCATCAAAAGAAAGGTTAAACTCTGTGAGCTGAACACACACATCAAAAAGAAGTTTCTGTGAATGATTCTGTCAAGATTTTATAAGATGTTTCCATTTCTACCGTAGGACTCAAAGCGCTTGAAATCTCCCGCTGCAAATTCCACAAAAAGGGTGTTTAACATCTGCTCTTCTAAAGGAAAGTTCAACTCTATGAGTTGAATACACACAGCACAAAGAAGTTACTGAGACTTCTCCTATCAAACATTATATGAAGAAATCCCGTTTCCAACGAAGGCCTCAAAGGGGTCCAAATATCTGCTTGCAGACTTTACAGACAGAGTGTTTCCAAACTGCTCCATCAAAAGAAAGGTTAAACTCCTTGAGTTGAACACACACATCACAAAGTAGTTTCTGTGAATGATTCTGTCTAGTTTTTATACGAAGATGTTTCCTTTTCTACCTTTGGTCTCAAAGCGATTGAAATCTCCACATGGAAACTCCACAAAAAGAGTGTTTCAAATCTGCTCTTTCTGAAGGAAGGTTCAACTCTGTGAGTTGAATACACACACCACAAATAAGTTACTGAGAATTCTCCTATCAAACATTATATGAAGAAATCCCGTTTCCAACGAAGGCCTCAAAGAGGTCCAAATATCTGCTTGCAGACTTTACAAAGACAGTATCTCCAAACTCCTCCATCAAAAGAAAGGTTATACTCTGTGAATTGAACGCACACATCACAAAGTAGTTTCTGAGAATGATGATATACCTAATGCTAGATGACACATTAGTGGGTGCAGTGCACCAGTATGGCACATGTATACATATGTAACTAACCTGCACAATGTGCACATGTACCCTAAAACTGAGAGTATAATAAAAAAAATAAAAAAAAAAAAAAAAAAAAAAAATCAATAAAGGCCAGTTCACCTCTGTGAGTTGAATAGAGGCAACACAAAGAACTTACTCAGTATTCT